>NC_000007.14:70082536-70385566 GCF_000001405.40 Homo sapiens | reverse complement strand
TGGTCTCATGAGACTATTTTCTAATTTGCTTTAAGGAAACTACTTCTGTTGTAGCAAGAGAAAAGTGCAGATGCTGTGTAGCATGCATATTGGGTTGTGTTGATACTTGTTTAATTGTGTGGCAGAATGAGAGTTAAATAATATATTATTGCCACCCAGTTGTAATTTAATTGGCAAGTCATACTGAAATACCCATGTTATGATTCTTAGAAATCAAGAAGATAAAAAAGTCAACAACTCCACAATGACCTCCTTGTGGCTTTTCTTTTTATGAATGAACATCTTCCTTTCTTCAGTCCTTCTGTGTCTCCCATGAAACTAGCACTTGGCTATGTACAAATAAAGTATGGTACTTGTCTTTAGGGAGAACAGTTTAGTGGATAAGCAGAAAGCAACAGATGATTATGTGCGGTGAGGTGCATCTTGTGAGAGTCTGCACAACAGGAATGCAGAACATGAGTCATGGAGCAAGTGTGTTGTAAGGAAACTGTATCATGACTCCAATGGATGGAAACTCGTGTAAACTAATCATTCACCTCCTCATCCTAGAAACGCAGGGAAAAAGTGTTTTTTGTGACCAGGGCTGTGCCAGACTTTACCCACTATATCTCCAAGGTGCTGGCACCACATGTCTGGCTTCTGTGTAGGGAAGCAGCCAGCAAGGCTAGTGATACCAAGCCCCTTCACACTCGGTTCAAGGACTTTATTAATATCTCATTCTCCTACTGGAGGCCAGTGGGGGATATGAAAGATAGCTTTGATCAGAACCCTCTGCTTTGAGGATTATCTGTCCACTACCCAACGCCAAACAAACTCTAGATCCCTTTCAAACTTGTAATAGTAGGCTGAAGAAAGAGGCTCTGACATTGTCTATCAACAATCCTAGGAGCTCCTTTTGCCAGCAGTCCAGAGCAACAAGGCACAAAGGAAAGCCCTCAAACCTGAGGGCTCTTTTCCCTGCACAGACAAGCTCTTGGCACCGTTGGCGCCGTGCACAGCAGCCTGGAGCTGAGCTGGAATGGCAGTCATCTTTGTGCAGCATGACAGGAGTGGTATTTTGCTGTAGGCCCAGCTTCTGTTAGGATGGCAGAAGGAGTGGCTTGTCATCCAGAATTACTTCTCAGATCCCAATTATATGTTTCAAAAATATCACCTATTAAGACCCAAACACGTTGTTTGCTGGTTGCAGCCCTTTGAACAGGTTACCATGGATTTATGCTGGCATAATGGGCCTGCATGATGTATGTTCCCTGTCAGTGCTGAAACAACAGTCAGTGCGTCTGAGTAGGCCCACCTGCCAAGCAATATGTTCTCAATCCCTCAGGCAGAGTGGTGCACTGCTCAGCTAAGAAAACGTCCCCCCACTGAGCAAATGGCAGAGCCATGGAACACGGGCAACCATGAGCACATGCGCACAGATCACAGGCACATGGCAGGAGGGGCGGTGGGGAGGGACAGTGAGGATGTTCCCGTCAAGCTTCACTTCCCAGTGACAAGCAAACAATCTCATGGTTTTTCTTTCTTTCTTTCTTTCTTTTCCCTAATGGACTAGCATAGGCTGCTAATCGCATTCATCATTAATGCAAGTGGCTGGAAGTTGGCTAGGGGATGACTTCTGAAGCCAAAAATGGGGAATGGATAGGAACAATGTACAGAATAATGCAGAAGTGGCTTGTCTCATGGTGGTTAGGTATTTTGTCAGAGTACAAAGGCATCGTCTAATGGAGATCCCACTTTGCAGAGAAAGGGAGGCAGCAAACAGTAAGTCTCCTAAGAGGCTGCAGTCTGTTTCATTGCGCTGGCTGATCTGAGAGCTCACCACCACCCTATTTTTGCTTGTCTTATGGAGATGTCCCTAGACAGAGAGGCAGGCTTTTCACCCTTACTGTGGAAAAAACAGACTTTTTTGTCAAGGACAGGCACTGGGATTTTTGGCTGGGAATGCTCTGGCTAATTAGTGATAGCATGAGGTCTGTGCTGCGAAGAATGCCTCAAAGATGCAGAACAGATTCTGCTTTTAGCTACTCATAAGATAGAAGCTATGATGAATGCACTGCTTTCTAAGTGAATAAGCTCTCTGCAGATTATGTAACAAGAAATAATGAATGGCTTTCTTACAGGCAATGGGGGCATAAGGCTGTTCAAAGCAGTAATAATTGTTTTTTTTAAAGGCTAAAATTTTACTATGGGACTTTAGGTCAATCCTCTCTAACCTGTTCTCAAGATCTCTAAACATTTTCCCAGGTCCCAAACCGCATGGAGTGATAAGTCACAAACAGTCCCTGTCAAGGACCATGACAGACTGCTCACTTGCATTTTACAAGACTGTGCTAAGCACATGGGCAGAACACATGCTAAGCACCTCCTCCTCTCATCTTCTACTGGGAGGAACACAAGCTAAAAAAAAAAATCAACAACAAAAAGCAAAAAATTATGGTAAAGCCAAATGATGAGATACCTTGCAGCCACTGCAAATTATAGCTTAGTTTTCTATTGATCAACATTAAAAGAGCATCAGAATATATCAACATGAAAAAAGGTAGAATTTGATCTCAGTTCTGGAAAAATATATAGACTTCATAAATTGTGTATACACACAAAGAAACATCTAGAGGGATGTTCAAAACCAGATATCTCTGGGTGATACAGCTTCAGGTGGTTTTTACTTTCATTACTCTTCTGTATACTTTTTTTCAATAAGGATGTGTCATTTTATGAAAATCCATCGTGTTGTTTTAATAAAAAAGGAAGAGAATGACCATAATGCAATGCAGTGAGTGATGACTACACTCAAATGAAGGAAAAATCATGCTGATCAGAATGAGAAAGGAGTCTTAGAAAAGACAGTGAGTGAGTTGTACACAGAGGATGATGATGAGTACGGAGTGGGGCAAAGCTGCATAATGAGTCCAGATAGAAACACAATGGGCAAAGGCAGAGTGGTAGAGAACTAGGGCCTGCCAAAGGAGCAGCCAAAAATCCACTTCAGCTGGAGTAGGTACAGGTACCTGTAGTGGAGAAGTCAGATTTGAAAGGGAGGGTGGCGCCATGCTTTCAATAGTCTTTACTGCCAGATAGAGGAATTTCCATTTAATTTGAAAGGCAGATGAAATCAAAGGAAAAGCAAGAGAGAGTGTGTGTGTGTGTTTGGGAAAAAGTTGGTATAGGAGGTGTGCTTTAGGAAAATTAGCCAGGCAGTGATGTGTAGGACACATCAGAGTTGGGGATTGTAGTAGAGAGATGAGTTAGAAAGCTACTGGACATTACAAAGAAGTGAGGAAACATGGAGATTCTGAACTGATCTAAGAAAAAGTCAATTTGGAAGAGTTTAGAGTTTTTCAAATTGGTTGACCTAGAGATTCAACAAGGACAGCCAATGACGATCTTCAGGCTGGGGGAAATAGGAGGAGATGATTTGGAGAGAAGAGGAGATTACAGACACGTTGAGCTTGAGACACTGTCGTGATATGCAAGGGAAGTTGTAGGGCAATGGTGTCTGGACTGCTGAGAATACTTGTTCCAGAAATCAGTATCTGGCTTCCAGGTACACAGACATTAGTAGAAAGTAAGCTCTGTGAGTGAAGACTTTTAGTCTTTCTGGTTTAACTGTGTATCACCCACCTATAAAACAGTGCTTGGTATACGGTATACACTCAAAAAGTGTTTACTGACTGAATAAAGAAATAACAACTTTGAAATTAAAGGATCAACGGGAGTGCAATATAAAAATAAAGGTAAAGAGAGCTGAAAACAGACCCTTGAGAATATTTAGCAGGTAGGAGCAGGAGGAAGTCAATGTGACAAAGGAGAAAGGAGAAGGAGCTTTAAGCTTATCGTTCTGCCATCTAGTCAAATTCTGACTCTGATTTTCTTTGGAAAATTTTCTAAAATTTTCTTAATGTCTGTTTTACCATATTTGTAACTGGAGGGTTAATGATCATAGAGGCTCCATTTAGGTCCACAATATTAAGAATCTTCAAATCCCTCATCATTGACTTAATTTTTATTATTAAAATTTTCTTACATTTGTGTCTAGGGCTAACGAATGATTTGCAAGTTTCCTGAATGCTGGGAAATTTTTCTCCCAAGGCTTGCTTAATGTTGTACTTTCTCATAAATTGTAGCTCCATAAATAAGTTGATTTGACTTTTTCCTTGAAGTATAGTTTGTACACAGGAAAACACACAGCTGTAAAGTGTACAGTTGGTTGAGTTTTGACAAATGTATGTACTGTGTTATCTACCTTCCAATCAAGATATAAGACATGTCCATGTTGGCTGGATTTTGATTTCTTCACTATTGCATTATTGGGAAGTCCACTTGGGCTATCATTATCCCTCTTCTTTATCTTGTGAATATCTCATTGGTGAAATAGCTATATAATCAGTAATTTTCAAATATATAATTCTAATGTTATTCTTAGTATTATTTCATCCTATTTCAGTGTTTTCCCCAGGTAATAGACTAATTCAACCAAAAGTGTTGGATGAGAGCAAATATTATTTATACGGTATCATTGCCAATATTTTTAACTTAAATGAAATCATGAATCTGACCATCTCCATAAGAGGTATTTATCCTATACTCTTCTATGTTAATGGATATCTGGCCATTTTAAGAGAAAACTACTTAATTCGTTTTTTAGCCAAAGATAAATGTGTTTGATAGCATATTTCTGAAAACAGGCTGTTCTATTTCAGGCTAGTTTTGAATATTTCTTTGGTTGGGTCATGAGACTGTGGCTTTTGAATTATTTGGAGCCAAACACCATTCAGCTGACTTTGGCTCCTCAGTGAGTAAGGGGAGCTCTGCTCCCTCCTGTTTTTAATCAGACACAATTTGATATTTACCCATTTCTGACACCTGGCTCTGAAAAAGCCCATGGTCGCCAGTTCAGACTAGGCGTTGTCCCTGGCCTTGATGGATCCTTTGGATTCGACAGTTTCTCCAAGTTCAAATTCTGTGGGGTCAGTTTGGCTCTGTTTTCCCCACCTTACAAGAAGCAGGCTTCCCAGTCATAAGCCCAGGCTGTGGACTGGGAGCCCTCCCCTGAGATCACAGCCACGGACGTGGTCCTGGCTCTGCCAGCGGAAAGGGGGACTGCTTTTGCGGTTACTGTCAGACGTCAATGCTGGAGGCTGGCTTCCAGGCAGTCTCCAGTACTCAATTTCTACCAAAATGAAATAAGAACCAACATATGCAGCTGAAATTACCAAAGTCTGCCCTTCTGATACTTAAACAATTCTACCTGCACTGAATTTTAAGCCCTTTTGGTCTCTATTTGAGCAAATATTCCAGTATTTGCACTAACTTTGTTTGATCCCAGAGCCACATTAATCAGAAAAGAGGAGAGAATGTCATTTGTGCCAAATACCTAAGTCCTTGCTCAAGTCAAATGTTACAATGAAAAAGTGAGTTTTATAGTACTGGATGCTGAAGAGCTCCAAGAAGACTGCAGCAAAGTCAATAAATCAAATAATCAATATATACTGATCAAACCACTTCAGACTCTTTGCTTAGTGTCAGTCATGTTTTGTACATGATGCATCCTCACCCTGGAGAATCTGGGTTTAAAAAGTTGACCTTGTTGTCTTCCTGACCATGATTTGCACCTGATCGAAATATTTTCTACTTCTAAGTCATTCCAACACAGCACAGTTATTTGCCTCTGGTACAGCAAATAAGCCAACCAAAAATTCTTAGCTCCTGTCTTTTGCTGAAGAAAACAATACCACATAAGACAATGGTAAAGGTGAAGTTCTTAGAACACTTCAAGTAAATGTCATAATAGACCAAGTCTGAAGATTAATAAATTCAGTCTCTTAGTGTAGGAATCCCCTTTACTTCCTTGTTGAGAGGATTTTCTAGCCTGTATTTGAATATTTCTGTTGACAGTTTACTAATTTTCAAGGCAGCCAGTCTACCAAGCTACAACTACATCTTTTATTCTGCACTGAAATGTGTCCTTCCAGAACCTACACACACAGAATGGCCTCAATTCTGTCCTCTGAAATGACACAAATTAAGTCTAATGATAGTTTTTCTTTCTTTCTTTTTTTTTTTTTGAGACGGATGCTCGCTCTGTCACCCAGGGTGGAGTGCAGTTGTGCAATCTCAGCTCACTGCAACCTCTGCTTCCCAGATTCAAGTGATTCTCCCACCTCAGCCTTCTGAGTCACTGGGATCACAGGTGCACACCACCACGCCCTGCTAATTTTTGTGTCTTTTAATAGAGAAGGGGTTTCACCATGTTGGCCAGGCCGGTCTCGAACTCCTAACTGCAAGTGATCCACCTGCCTCGGCTCCCCCAAAGTGCTGGGATTACAGACGTGAGCCACCGTGCCCGCCCTAATAATAGTTTTTCAACATGATAGCTCTTTAGCTATTTGGCATCTAAACCTAGCCTACGAGTTGTAGGATTTCAAAGATGGTTGAAGGCACAGTACCTATCCCAAAGTGACTACAGGTAGTAAAGGGCATTATATGATAACCTGGCTTATATCCAGCAACTTAAAAAAAAAGCCATGAAATTCATAACAGCAGTGCTAGTCTTAATAAGAATTGGAAGAGATACGAATAAAATGGCATATGAAACAATGTTCTAACAAATCACAAGGATAGGCTCCAGTAAGCTTCCATAATAATTAGACCACAGTTTAAAATTCTTAGATGGTTTCTGAATCATATACTTATAGCTTTTAACATCTGTCCATCACTAGGATTTACTGTTAATACTCTGCATATGTATAGCACTTTTAAAGCTTTCAAGTAATTTTACATGTTATTTTATGTAGTTTGATTTTGAAATTTAAAAGTGACATCATGCAATGGAAAATGATAAGCCTTCTGCTAACCATGCTGGGAATATAATGAGGAATATAGATGCAATCCACTTTTCTGAATGGCTTCATGGTATCTACAAACATGGTCTCTGAAGTAGAACCCTGTCTGCCACATACTAGCTGTGTGAACTTAAGCAAGTTTCTCAACCTCTCTAAGCCTTTATTTCCTTTTCTGTAGCACACAGATAACATATTCTGTGGGCCTTAAGTAAATTAATTCACATAAGAGCTAATCTCAGTGCCTGGTACATAGCATGAATACATGCTTGTTCTCATAGATCTTTTTGTGCATCATAGCTAATAACTGAATTCTTTATTATAAAATTTATTTTACTATAGGCAGATAACATAGGAAAGAACCGTAAGAATATTTAAAGTTCCACAGAGCTTAAAAGTTGTTACATTGGCAGATGCAAAAATATTTCAATAGCCACTTCTGAGTATGCATAAAAGAAATTAAAGCAGGACTTAGACATGTTCATAGCAGCATTATTCACAATAGAGAAAATGTGAAAGCAACCAAGTGTCCATTCATAAGTGAATAGATAAAATGTGGCATATCCATACAATGGAATATTATTCAGCCTTAAAAAGGAAGGCAATTCTGACACATGCTGCCAACATGGATGAACTTTAAAGACATTATGCTGGCCGGGCGCGGTGGCTCACGCCTGTAATACCAGCACTTTGGGAGGCTGAGATGGGCGGATCACAAGGTCAGGAGATCAAGACCATTGGCTAACACGGTGAAACCCCGTCTCTACTAAAAATACAAAAAAAAAAAAAATTAGCCAGCCGTGGTGGCGGGCGCTTGTAGTCCCAGCTACTTGGGAGGCTGAGGCAGGAGAATGGCATGAACCCGGGAGGCGGAGCTTGCAGTGAGCCGAGATTGCGCCACTGCACTCCAGCCTGGGCGACAAGTGAGACTCTGTCACAAAAAAAAAAAAAAAAGAAGACATTATCCTAAGCGAAATAAGCCAGACAAAAGGATAAATACTATTTGTTTCTACTTTTATGAGATACCTAGAGTAGTCAAATTCATAGAGGCAGACCGTAGAATGCTGGTTGGCAGGGTTGGGGAAGGAAGAATGGAGAGTTATTGTTTAATGAACATGGAGTTTCAGTTTGGGAAGACGAAAAATGTTCCGGAGATGAACAGTGGTGATGGCTGTACGACAATGCGAATGTATTTAATGCCATTAAACTATACATTTAAAAATTGTTAAAATGGTAAGCCATTTTATGGCTTTAAATAGTTTAAATATAAACTATTTAAATATATATAAATGGTTTACCATTTTAACCATTACAATATTTTATACAACATTTTTATTGCGATATATATATCACTATATATATATATATATATATATATATATATATATATATATATATATATTTATATTTGTTTGTTTGAGACCCAAACACCATTCAGCTGACTTTGGCTCCTCAGAGTTTGAGTATGAGGATCTCTGCAATGTTTTTATAGGACATTTTTTATTGTGGTTAATAAAAAAGTCCTATAAAAATATTGTGATGGTATTCCAAAAGACTTTAGGCTTCAAAGAAGCATGGGGCACATTCCCTGGACTACAGGTACTTAACATGCAATTAGGGAGTTAGAAAACACAGTAAAAAGACAAATAACAATCCAAAGTATTCTAATTGAGGCAAAAAGCAAATAAACAGGCATCAATGAAGCCACAATTTGCCAATGATATTATCCAGTTCGTGGACATTAGCCATAACTTACATAGGCCAGATGTCTTGGGTCAGATCATTGACAAAGACTGTGACCTGAGGTTTCATTCAACAACACGCAATAACAGAGCATGATTATTAAATGCAAAAAACCAAGAGGCTCCCAAAGACACTTAGTGACTGACAGCTTCATCTCCTGGGCTTTTTGTACTTCATCATGCAAACAAAGACAATGTGAAACTGTTACTATAATTAAGCACTTTCCTTATCCTCCCAGAGCAGAACTGCATTCGAGATAAAGGATAATAGCACTAAATGAACAGGTTAATTAGAGACAGCATTTACCCCTGCAGGCCTTCCACTGGAAACACCATTTCACACCATTACATCACACAGGAGAGCAGGGCTCCAGGGACTAGCTCCTGAGACGGCCAGTGACCAGAAGAGAACAAAGCAAGCAGCAGTAAGAGGGAAATCTTGCTGACCTAACTGATACTCATGCCCACCCAGGATATCCCCCCATGTTTCTCTAAGGCATGAGCTGGCCAACTACGGTGTGCCGGCCACATCTCACCCACAGTCCATTTTTATACAACCTGTAAATTAAAATGAGTTTTTGCATTTTTAAAGTGTTGTTTAAAAAAAAAGAGAAACAAAGAATATATGTCAGAGACCTGTGTGGTCAAAAAGGCTAAAATATGTGCTATCTGACCTTTTATAAAGAAATTTGCCAATCCAAAATGAAAATAGGAATTAAGCAATGTGTTTAATACCACAGAAAAGGCAGGTAAAGCGAACTGCAAGATGTTCACACGGAAACATTTTAAAACTCCAACCCTATCATCAATTATCATCCTATAAATAACTGGATACAGAGGTGTCCTTTTCATTTATCCCTTTCTTCAGTGAAAGTGTTCTCTCCCTTTGGCCATCTGGGAAGAAAGCAGCAGAGAAATCTGAGCAACTTGCTCATTCAAGCACTTCTTCTTCTTTTTTTTTTTTTTAACGACAAAAAACAAACTACTCCTCCGTTCTCACCTCCCACTTTCTAAAACCTGGCCATTATTTCAAGATTGAACATGTTCTTGTGAAAATATTATGATTTAAGGTGATGCCTACTATTATTCCACTGGTTTGGGGGTATTTAGGAATAAGTTTTAAAATGAGTTGCAAGTAGAAGCTTGGCAGAAAGACAGACTTAGGTAGGCACAAGTTATTGTATGTAATTGGAAAACAGCTGGTTTAGAATTTGCTAATTCATAGCAGTTCAGGAAATAAAGCAAATCTCACCAACCCCACCTTACACACTTGTATTCCAAATGTTGCTCAAAGCCCATTCAGAATCTGCCATTAATTCAGCCAATGTTTTTCTTCCCAGAATAATAAATACTTTCTTAAGCTAAAATGTGGAATCATTACAAATAAAAATATTGCTCTTGACTGACTGTAAGTGGATTACATATTTACTTTGCTTTATTAAAAGGCCCATGAGGGGAATGGCCATAACTTACACCTTCTCTTGCATTCCATACTACCTAGTTGGACGTAAAATTGGCAGTAAAAAAATAAATTCTTGTTGATGAAATAATGAATAGCCAATACAAAGAATGGAAACCAGTAAATGAGGCTGGTTCACCATTGCCAGGTACACACATTTTAATGTGGTTACTGGCAAAGTTGAAATTTCTTGGCTTCAGAGTGAGGCTCCAAAGTTCAATGACCTCCAATGGAATCTCAAAGCAAAGTCAATGGGGCTTCTAATAGCTCTGGTCTCTCATATCCAAGTGATTTTGAGATAGAAAAAAATCTCTATCATATATGCGTTGTTTCACAAGCATTTCAACATTTAACATATTGAATCAGTATGGTGTCTTTTGGATAAACCCTCCCTCTGAAAGTGTTAAGCTTGAAAAGGGCTTCTGACTACAAGCTCACCAACCAGAAACTGTGCGATCCTATCCTGGATTATCAAGGAAGAGCTGAACAAAGGTGCAGGGAGCATCGGGGCACTCCTAGGAGGAGCAGGTAATGGGCCTGAGTTGGAGCAGCTGTCCCAAGTGCTGCTGTGCTACTGCAGCCTTTCTACTGGGTCTATGGATGGCAGTTTCCCATCTGCAGAGTATGGCACTTGGTTTAGGGAGTTCTTGCCTCATCTACTTACGGTCTGTGTGCACGCACATGTCCAAACACACACACACTGACCTCAAAGCCAGGCTTTATATTAGGGTAAAACAGTGTCTTCAAGGGATGCAAGAAGATGAGGACTTAGTTACTGTAAGTGGAAAAGATCTCAAACTGACCAACCTTAAGGCCTTATATGTCTTTCACCTTTCTTCTGATATGTGAATATACTTTTTAGAAGGAAAATATGCCAGTTGAAAGGTTACTCATCTTGACCCCAATATAATCACTTCTCTTTTTACGTTGCAAAAAGCCAGTCCTGCCTAAACACTTATTTTCCTGCCCTTTGACTACATATCAAACTAAATGTTACTTACAAGCAATTGACTGCAAGTTTGTTTAACAGCAAGACATCCCTTTAATTAACTGCCCGCTTTTTTACTGGAGTTGACAGGCAATACATTTGTAGCATCTCAGCTGATTACATGAAGTCTTAAGTAGTTATATAGCAATTGGTAAAGAAAAAATAGCCTCCATTAATCCTAATAGATAGGTTTTGTGGTTAAGAAACCCCACAAGGCAAAAAATTCAATAATTTAAAAGAACCTCATGTTGAATGTTATCATCATTTTTCTTTTTAAATAGAATAAACTGTTAATTTCATTAATTTAAAATGTGCTTTATCCCTCTTTTCGAGACAAAATTCTTGAGACATTAATGATTTTTTCCCTCAGACTCACTCTGCTTCTTGTAGAAATTCTACTTCTCAGAGCTTTCCTAAAGAAATGATCAAGAATGTATACTGAAATTTGACCAAAAAATATATTTATAACTTGCCTGTCTAAAATGGATAAAAATTATAAACTAACACTGCATTTTAGTTGCAGGAGATAGGTTATATAAAGTATAGTTAATTCACACATACACACTACAATCATTAGAAATGACATTCCGTATAGACCATTCATGGGAATATGCTTGTGATGTAATGTTTAGTGAAAAAAAAAAGATGACTTCTAAACAGTATATACGATTCACTAAATTATGTTCACTAAATATGAACAGAAAAAAGACTAGAAGGATATAAACAAAAACCATACCAATTTTATTAGCAGGGGGAGGACTTACAGGTTATTTTTATTCTCCTCTTTGTACTCTAGACATTTTATATAATTTACTCATTTTGTAATGAGAAAAAAAGTATATTTTAGCAGATGAAGAGGATTGTCCCACAGGTGTTAATTAGATGATATTCTAGACTCAGAGTTGTCCAGCAAACCATGCCTAGAAGCAGTCACGTTCTTAGGATAACTGCCCACTGATGCCAGTTCCATCTTCTCTAGATTATTTTGAGAGCAGAAAACAGAAAGATAGTTTGGGAAAAATGCCTACCCCTGCATTTATAAACAAGCAAATTCTCAGTAGTAGGAGGAATGATTAAAACCAACCAAAAAAATAAATAAATAAAGAAACCTACCCTTGTTATCCAATATTCACATCGCAGAGGTTTTATATCCACACATTTTCAGAAACCAAGAGGGAGTCATAAACCCAATTCAATTTAATCGGGTGCTCTCTTGACAGAATTGTTATTAATAAGATCGTATTGTACAAACCTCCCTGAAATCCCAAATGCTGCTGCCTACACCAGCAGAAACATTTAACATCCAGCACAGCACATGCAGTTGTGTCTGCTCTTCTGTCCTGGCCCCTCCCACAGACCCTCTCATCCTTCTTCCCCCACTCCCCCCTGGTTTCTCACATAAAAAAAAAAAAAAGCTTGTCTTGAGCAACCTCCATAAATTATTCACGTGATATTGCAGTGTATGTCAGCAATCTCGCAGTGTTTAAAAAACTTAACTACAAGCCAATTAAAATGTAAACTGAGAAAGATGGATGGAGCTGGTTGCTCTGGTGTGAACTTGAGCAGCTCATAACAATATGCACTACAACTTCCAGACCTGCTAATTTGACAGCTACTTTCATCAGCAGACCCTCGCCCTTCCCCCATGACTTCTTCCTCTTCTTTTTAATGTAGTGCTTCTCCTAGGACAAATGGCTCCATATCCTCCCACATTCAGCAGATTAGTCCCCTGGGCCTTGCAACCAGCCCAAACTCTCAAAGTGGAAGTTATTAACAGGGTTGATTTTTTTTTCCTCTTTGTTTTTAAGGATGTGTTATATACCTCTCGTTTTCTTTCCAGGTTGCAGTTTAAAATACTTGTATTTTAAAAAAAAAAAAAAGAAAGAAAGGAAGTAAGAAGCAAGCAAAGATGAAGTGTACAATGAGAAATGGCCAGGAAATCTGACGGCTAGCCAGATGGAGAGGATGTGCTACCAGACAGGTCTTCCCCCTACTGTTTGTTTCCATTTCAATTTCTTCCATGATACTCTTTACATCAATGATCTATATGCCAGGCTTCCATTTACTCTAGATTAAACGAATGTGAGACTAAATACAACCAGTGCCTAGTTTGTTTTTGAGAGGAAGAGAAGGCCTGGATTACTGCACATCTTTTTAGCAGTTCCATTAAGACAAAAATACGGGTTCCCTAAAAAAGTACTAGGATATCTTCCTCTACAAAACTCAACTTGACCTTCCCTGCATTTTAAACCTTCTATAAGAAATCTCAATCTACAATGAAACCAAAGCCATCTCTGGCCAGGTTGGCATCAGAACATGTTGAATTACTGACATTTCTGCATTATCTACCTCTTCTTTCTGGAATATCAGTTTTCATTTTCTGAAACTGTGTAGCTCAAATTTTAAGTTGGGGACATAGGACCCCTCTAAAGAAGAGTCTGGACAATGGAAAATCATTCTTTTCAGCATTGGAAACTTGGTGCCAAACTAGCAGAAGAGTATTGCACTTTAGTTCCCATCCTTTCCAGTTTTGTGACTAGACCTAGAATTTTAACAGAAGACAAAAATGGCCCTCAATCCCTAAAGAGAAAAAACATACTTTAGTCCTAGAGAAATCACTGGCCATATGGTAATGAGACATCACCCTGATTGATCTATTTGCTGTCATCTGTACACATCAGGTCAATTACAAAGGTCAAGGTTTGCATAGAAATGGCACGTGTTCAAATCAACACAACCATAAAAAATGCTTGTATCTATGAGCCAACCACTAGGATATCTATCAGTGACTCATTACATCAATTTACTGTCTTATAATAGATAAACTAATCAATGAACTAATTCATTACCTTGAAAAGCATCACTGTATGTTGAACTCAAAGAGATTGAAATCATTGAAATAAACAAATGCCTCATGTGTAGCCAATATAAATGGGAAAAAAATGAAGGAACTCAACTCTGTGACAAAACTTTTAAATTCGGGGTTTAATTGGGGAGAAATAGTTAATTGATTTTATGAACCACACGCTAGGTTTTCCTCTATCATTAGTTGGAGAAGACTGCACACTGCAATTATGTCTTACATCTGTTTGATCAAATTCAGTTAGCAGGTGTCTCAGAAAAGCTTACAGGTCAAAATAAAGGCAGATGGTTATCTGATCAGTGCATGCAATCAATACATTCATTCTATTATTTAATCCTGCTGAATTATTTACAATGGTGTCTTTCAACCCTCACTGTGCATCAGAATCATGTGAGGAGATTTTAAAAACTACAGATACCTGGGCTATATCCCCAAACATTCTTATTCAGTTGGCCAAGGATAGGGCCTGAACGCTGGTATATTTAAAATTATTTTTCAGGTGAACCTAACTTCGTGTTGCCAAGGACTGAGAATGGTTAGAATGAGAATAGCAACCTCTGGTTATTCATTTCCATGGAACATGGCAACACCACGGACTGGGCATACTATAAAAGGCTGCGTCCAATTCCTTCTTAGCCTTTAACTGCTTGAAATCCTCCTATCCATATCAATCTCTTAATATTTATTTCTCAGTCTTCTGTCAAAGCCCTCAAACATGCTTTCACTTATGCCTTAGTTTTGAAAATACAACTTCTGATCATGGAAATGCAGACTAAAACCACAATGAGATACAACTTCACACCCACTAGAATAATGGCTATAATAAAAAAAAAAAGACAACAAGTGTTAGCAAGGATATGGAGAAACTAGAACACTCATACACTGCTGATGGAAATGTAAAATGCGGGCACTGTAGCAAATGGTCTGGCAATTACTCAAATGGTTAAATGATAGTGACTCTGCAGTTCCACTATAAGATGTGTATATGTCTAAGAGAAATGAAAACATATCCACAAAAAACTTACACATGAATGTTTGTAACAGCATTTTTCATCACAGCCAAAAAGTAGCAACAATCCCAATGTCTATCAATTAATGAATGGATAAACAAAATGTGGTGTATCAATGTAATGTAATATTATGAGGCAATGTAAAGAGATGAAGTACTGACATATACTACAACATGGATAAACCTTTAAAACCAGTGAAAAATAAGTGAAAGAAATCAGCCACAAGGACCATATATTGTATGATTCCATTTGTATGAAATGCCCAGAATAGGCAAATCTATAGAGATGAAAAATAGAGGGTTGGTTACCTAGGGCTGAGAGCTGGGGCAGTGGAATGGGCAAGGAAGGAGGTATGGATAGGGAGTGCAGGGTTTCTTTTTTGGGTCATGAAATTGATTCTAAAATTGATTATGGTGATGAATGCACAACTCTGTGCATTTATTAAAAAACATGGAAGTGTATACCTTAAGTGGGTGAGTTGTGTGGTATGTGAACTATAACTCAATAAAGCTGTTTAAAAAAATAATAAAGAGGTTTCTCCTTTGATGCCTGTGTTGGAAAGCCCACCTAACCTCCAACATCCTACTAGGGCAGGGTTATGTCTGACTTGGTCACAGCCCTTGCAAGGTGCTAGGCTGCACTCCTAAATGTTGCCTGTTGATAGCATTGTTGGAATCTAATTGTACATCCATGGTCTGGCTCCTGGTTCCAACATATCCGAGTCTTCCTCATTCTAGTACCCTTTGCATATCTGGTAGTCTCTTCAAAATGGGGATGGGCAAGCAGGACTAAAGACTGGGACTTTATTCTGAAGGTAACAGGAAGTCATTCAAGTCGTATGGGGAGTAGATGAGGAGAAGATACCTGGATTATTATGAAGTCTTTTAACTAATCCTTCTCATTATGTTCTTCCCAACTGACCAAGTGTACCTTGTCACAATGCCATTCTCTCATGCAACAACTAATTCCTGCTTTCCTTCCATATTGTACCAACTCCTTATAATAAGGTTGCAACCTGTCAGTTCAACCTGATGTCCCATAATTTCTTGATCTAATCATCTCCTCTTCTTTCTGGCCACTCTCCTTCTTGCCTCCCCTAGAAACCATTTTCACTCCCACCATTGGCCCTTGAATGATACCATCACTCTGGTGCCCTCCTTTCCTTCCTTTGACACCCTCCAAGGTTAATCTATTCTTCAAGGCCTCGGTTTAATCTCATCTGTTCCATGAAACTCTTCCCCAAAAATTATAGCAATTAGGGCAATAAAAGACATATATGAAACAACCCTCAAACTCATGGCATGAGCTTTTTTGCCCCACTGACCAAACAACACATTCTCTGAGAACATGAATAAAGTCCTAAACTTCTCTCGATTACACCTAGTGCCAAAGTGCTAGGCCAGCAGCAGATGTATTTACAGAATGACTGATAAAAGGGAACTCACTTTTATTTCCAGGGATAGATGTACAATCAATTTCTCTCTCATATTCTCTCCCTGCAATGGTTTCTCTTCCCATTCCAAGAAAGCCTGTTCTTTGTGCGTTTCCTTTTCTCTAGGCTATGTGCTGTTACAGTAGAAATCGCTCTCTTGGGAAAATTATTGATGGGCAGCTTCTAATTTTAAGCTGAACTAAGAAACTGAATCACAGCTATATTACCATTTCATTCTGCATGGAGCCCTAATGATAAATATTTAACCAGAACAACTTCCTTTTCCTTTGCTGCTATGTTCCCGTTTAATTATTTTAACAAACAGCTGTTCCAAACATTTACCACTCTTGTAAGACCCCTCACGCTGCTCTTGGTGGATCATATTTTTGCTGCCTCCTTCATTGGGAAAAAGAGAAGCCACTGCCATCCCTTCCCTATTTACTTATACCTATAGCTCTACTCATTGTTCTGGTCTTGAGCACTGATCACCAAATATTTCCTGTGCTTCCCCAATTCCAGGCACTTTCTTGGCCTCCTGAGGTCAGAGGTAGCCATGTGACTGCTCTATGATGACTGCAGAGGCAAATACCGAGATGGAGCTCCCATCAGGCTGGGTCTCTGAGGGGCAGAGATAAAACAGAAACCCTTCCTAATTAATGTTGGCCATACAGTATGAATAGAGAACCTCTGTTGCATTAACAGACTTAGAGTTAGGGCTACTTGTTACTGCAACATAACCTAAATTATCCTGCCCAATGCCTCATTTTATCACTGTCCTTCCCTTCTATTACCCAGGAAAATAGGTCCAATCTCACTTTGAAACTACTCCTCTACCTCTACTCAAATCCCATGTCTACTCATCTCTTTTCTCTGACATCATAGGCATCATCCTTTCCCTCTCTTGCACCTTTAATATCTCCCTTCCTCACAAGAATGAACAAACAAAAAATCCTACTAATACTTACTGAGTGCCTTCTGAGTTCTAGGTGTTTTCTATGTCATAATTTCATTAAATCCTTAAAGAACTCCAAGAGGTAGGTAGTACTAATCTCATTTTATACATAAGGAACTTGAGGCTCACAGAAGAACTTGATCAAGGTCCATATCTATTAAATAGTAGGCCAGAGGTTTGATCTTCCACGAGTGTGATTCCAAACCCCTTACTATCCCAGAGACATACAGGTATCCCTAGCCTATATACATATTCAACTCACTCTCATACACACACCCACTCCACTTTGCTTCTCTTTTCAGCCAGAGTTCTCCATTTCTCATCACCCTAAACACTGAATACACACATTCATTGTCTCCATTTCTTTATTTCATTCTTTTCGAATGATTCTAACCCAGTCTCTACTCTCATCATTCTCCTGAAAAAGTTGTTGCTAAAGGTCAGTGGCCTTCTATAATAGCTAGCAAAGCCAGTGGTCTTCAGAAGATTCATATCTTTCTGTTCTCCCAATGGTATCAGATATTGCTATTTGCACTTTCTGAGAACTCTCTTCTTTTGCAAAACTACTGCTTCCTAGATATCAAATAATACCTCTGACTGCTTCCTTTGATGAATATTCCTCTTCTAGCCATCATTAGTGAACATTCCCAAAACTACGTTCTTCATCAGTGATTTCATAAATCAGTATTATTATTATTATTATTTTTTACAATTTTTTTTTTTTTTGAGACAGAGTCTCGCTCTGTCTCCCAGGCTGGAGTGCTGTGGCACGTTCTCAGCTCACTGCAAGCTCCGCCTCATGGGTTCACGCCATTCTCCTGCCTTAGCCTCCCAAGTAGTTGGGACTACAAGCGCCCATCACCATGCCGGGCTAATTTTTTGTATTTTTAGTAGAGATGGGGTTTCACCGTGTTAACTAGGATGGTCTCGATCTCCTGACCTCGTGATCCACTCACCTTGGCCTTCCAAAGTGCTGGGATCACAGGCATGAGCCACCGTGCCTGGCCTTTTTGTTTTTTGAGACAGACTCTCGCTCTGTTACCCAGGCTGGAGAGCAGTGGCACCATCTTGGCTCACTGCAACCTGCGCCACCTGGTGCAAGTGATTCTCGTGCCTCAGCCCCTGAGTAGACCACACCCGGCTAATTTTTATACTTTTAGTAGAGACGGGGTTTCGCAAATGTTGGTGAGGCTGGTCTAAAACTCCTGGCCTTAAGTGATCTGCCCATCTCAGCCACCCAGAGTGCTGGAATTACAGCTGTGAGCCACCATGCCCAGCCCATAAATCAGTATTTCTAATCCTAACCTTTATCTTCAGGACCCAAACTTTGTTAGCCAAAGTTCTCCACTTGGATGTTCCACAGGTACCTCAAACTCAACATCTCCAAAATGAACTGATTCTTCCTTATTCTCATCTTCAACTCAATCCTCCCCCTGTATTGGACATACTCTCCCATGCAGTCTTTGGGGTTAGGTGTCTCAGAATTACCCTTACCTCCTCTCCTCTTTTGTTTCTCCGTTCTCCACATTTGGTCAGTCACTTAATCTATCCACTATCACCTCTAAAATACCTTTGGAACATTCCTTCTTCTCAAATGTCACTACTGCTGCCCTAGGTGAATATCAACTCTCTTCTTAAAAAGCTCCTGTGATTTCCCCGAGTTTATCAGCATCACCTCACTGATATCCAAATCTGATTTTTAGTCTTCTGCTTAAAAACCTCTGGAGGATTTGGGGCCTAATCTACTTTCCTGTTTTATCTCTCACTATTTCTTTTCAAAAGCCTCTATTCCAGACATATAAGTAGGGCTACCTACTTCCACAAACATACCACAGCCTTCACCTGCTTTGCTCACACTGCCTCCACTTTCTCTCTCTCTGGGGAGCTTTACTCATCCAACGAGACAAGAGTTCAACATTGCTTCCTCTAGGAAGCCTTTCCTAAATGCAGAGCCGCTTTAGCTACGTCCTTCTTTGTGTTCTCTTGTCAATTTTGTTCATGTTTGTATTATATAACTTATAATGTGTTATTTGCTTATGGATCTGTCTCTAAGAGAAGGAGGTTTCAAGTGGTGTTCAATTAGGTCACAGGGAAAAGACTCAGAGGCAAATATAGGAGAACTTCCTCTCTCTCTCTCTTTAATAAATGAAGGACTAACATAAGCTTTGGTTTTAGAGATTTAACATATAAAATACAACTGGAAAACCATTTTACTGAAACATAAGTTTCTTGAAGTCAGATATGTTACTAAACTTGGAAGCCCTACAATATAGCATGATGACTGGCTTATGGTAGGTACCCAAAAGATGTCTCCTAAACCAATCAGTGGCTCTTTGGGCAGTGCTGCTTCCCACCGTCTCTTTCCATTTGAGCTTTTATGGTAAGTAAAGGATGAATGTTAGTAACTCCTTTCCAGGTTGCCCTGGAAGACCAATCTGGTCAGGAACAAATCTGGTCATTAAAACTATGATAGTTGTCATCAAAACAGCACTGCTTTAGAAGAACAAAGTTTTCTTAACAGCTTTGGTTCATTACTAAAGTAGGCATTATCTTAAAATTGATCTTATCTGAAGGTTAAATACACTTAGTTCCTTGTCAGAACACTTAACTCTCCAATATGGTCAATTACCAGACAATAGTGTCTACTTTCTCATGTCTTACTACTTAAATGGTCTGATCAATAGATAAGTACACACTGCATTATTAAGAGCTTGCTGATGTCAGACATGAATGGAAGGAGTCTATGAACTTCTAGCCTTTAAAAAATACCATTTACGTTCTCTGTCAATTGCAGGTGCTTTATATGTGTCATTGGAATATAATATTCTTTAAACTTCTGGTCTACACCACACGTCACATGCAAATGTATGGACAAGTTTCTCCATCTGTTCTGAGCTTGAGCTTTATTTCCCTTAATAAGGGAATGCTTGACCACATGTATTGGTTCCTCATAAAACCACAAAATATTTAAAAATACCAAAATAAACATTATTCTAAATGCTATGACCTAACGGGAAATGAGAATCTTTGTATCCGGGTTGGTGATGGAACTGACCCTCTCTTCTGAAGAGTAAAGAGGGAAATTCAGGGCAGATAGTAAAGATACTAGGGGAGAAAATCTGAACCAATTATTCCTTTACCAAATATCTTTTCTGCAGAGATGATGTCTTAGAGCAGAAAGAATTTTTTTCACAGTTAATTTTTAAAATTCCTACTAATCCTTTTTGTTAATAGGCTTTCCCAGTACCTTTCTCCATTTACATATGATGTCTAAACTGAGCTACTGTACCTGATGAAAAAGGAAGTAGCACGCCAACTTTACCTACAGCAGTATTACTGCTGAGAGATATGTGCCAGCCAGCTAACTGAAAAGTTTTTAGCATTTTAGTATCAAGACTTATCCATAAATAAAAAATATTTTATTTCCTTAAAACTACATTGAACACATTGGTCAGTGTTTACACAACTGGTTCTGCTTCTGTCTCCAATATGTGAATGCCCATGACCAGAGAGAGTTAACTAAATGTTTTCAATCAGAAAGAGTTCTTTATAATGAATGAGTCTGATCCACCTTTCCTAGACAAGGAAATGGAGTAAAAAGAAGTTAATAAATTTATTTAAATTGAAATACTTATTTAAAAGGACTTTTGAGCCCTTTTTAATTTTTATTTATTTATTTATTTATTTATTTATTTATTTATTTATTTATTTATTTTTGAGACAGAGTCTTGCTTTGTCACCAGGCTGGAGTGCAGTGGCGTGATCCTGGCTCACCGCAACCTCTGCCTCCCAGGTTCAAGCAATTCTCCTGCCTCAGCTTCCCAAGTAGCTGGGACTACAGGCACGTGCCACCATGCCCAGCTAATTTTTTTTGTATTTTTAGTAGAGACTGGGTTTCACCATGTTGGCCAGGATGTTCTCTTATCTCCTGACCTCGTGATCTGCCCATCTTGGCCTCCCAAAGTGCTGGGATTACAGGCGTGAGCCACTGCGCCCGGCCTAATTTTTTTTTTTTAAGCTTCTATTTACTGACTGCCTACTAGGTGCTAGACAGTTGAAAGACTAAATGCATTTTTTTCCAATCTAGACAACTAGAATGCTTTTTTAGTAAGCCAGTCTCCCTTCCTTCCATATCAACGTGATAATTGTCAACATGATATTTGAAGGCATATGATCACCATCAACTTGGCCATGCCCTTCCACAAACCCTGCTGAAATAAAAACAGAACAGATTAATCACTAAAATAGATCCCATTCCTATGATGTGTAAGGTGCTCTGCTAGCTGTGTACACAAATAACACAAGGCATGGTCTCTGGCTCTGAGTAGTTTGCAATCTACTAAAAGAAACAGGATTCTAATAATAAAACATAGCATAAAAGCTAGCTAGCTAATTAACAAATGAGATAAATAGGCTAGAGGAGGACTGTAAGAGTCCATAGAAGGAGGAGTTCAAAGAAGCTGGGAGACTTAGGTTTTTAGGAAAAAATGTTATTTGAGCTGAATTGTTTTGTTTTTAGTTTGCTTTGATTTTTTAAATTACAGAATTCAAAGAAGCATAAAAGAATAGAGTATGGAGTACATGGGTAGCAATATATGTAGAACATAGGGGTGAAAAACTTGAAAAGTATAATTAATTATATAAATACCCGTTGAGTTATGGGATAAAAATAAACAGCAAACCAGAATATTTGGGTATTTCATCTGCATAAATATCTTAATTTAAATAAATAATTCTTTCTAAGAAATTAATACTTATTTTAGAGCAATTAAAAATAAGACTATCAATAGCTTCAGATTTTTTTTTTTTTTTTTTTCTTTTTTTTATATTATACTCTAAGTTTTAGGGTACATGTGCACATTGTGCAGGTTAGTTACATATGTATACATGTGCCATGCTGGTGCGCTGCACCCACCAATGTGTCATCTAGCATTAGGTATATCAATAGCTTCAGATTTTCCATAATTTTTGATATAGCAATTCTATTTCCAAGAATATGTCTAAGGAAATCCAATAGTCATCTAATAAACACTCAGATGAGAAACCAGATAAATCCTAAATGTCCAACCATTAGAGACTGGTGATCTACATGATTTTGAATCCACAGAATGGATCCAAACAGATGTAGAACAACAGTTAATACAATGAAAAGATACACTGTACTTACAAATATCAGGAGGAATAAATGCATCTCATTAGATTACCATCTGTGTATTAACAAAAATATTATACACACACAGAGAGGGAAAGACTGAGAGAATATTTATCACAAAGACTTCTGTTCCTTTAATTCTAAGTGGGGTTGATGTCATTCCAGAGTTATTGAGATAATTTATCTTTCTTTAACACCCGTCTCTTACTGCAGAGTACCTGCCTCTCTCCCGCTTACTGTGGACACCTCCATGTTCACCACTGTAGCTTACGTATCTCCAGGTGTTCATGCCTTGCACAACTCCTGAAAAATGTCCTTAAGTATCTGTTGAAAAAATGTTTAAAGCAATAAAACAAGGAACTATATGAAGCATTTGGAATGTTAGAATGTACAATGTTGATATTTCTCTTCCTTTAAAAAGAACTTTCTGATTAAAAAATAAAATCAAAGAGGAGAGAGAAAGGGAGGGAGGAAGGAAGAGAGGACGGGAGGAAGGAGAGAGGGAGGGAGGGACGGGGGAGAGAAAGAGGAACTACTATCCTGTCACATATAAATACTCCAACTTCTTAAAATGAATTTCTCCTGCTTGAAATATCAACGAACATACTTATTTTATAAGACTGCAAGGAATGTTTCACTTTCCCGGGGAAGAAACATTTGAAAACCAGATCCCACTACAGTATTTCAGGATTTGAATGTCTTCTCTGCTGCAGAATCTCAATGTATTGTGTGGTTCAATCTCTGTTCAGCCTTCCCTGACAGGGAAGAACAGTCTGGAAAGGGAGTGAAGTGAGAAACAAAGTGGAGAAAGGAAGGGAAGAGGAGAGAGACAAGGGAGGGAAGACAGGTATTTAATACTTGGGAACTAACTAGGTTCACTCCCCATGCCGGTCTGGTTCTTCTTTTATTTGAACTATTTCACCAGCCCTAATTGTCATCCATGTAAACACCCAATCTGATGTTAAAAGGAACCATTCCTGCTGATGGAAGTAGTAAGTGACAGTGCTCTATCAATGAAGTCCCGAGTTCTGCATAAATCAGCATTTGTCATCTTTTCAATTCTAAGAAATTTTTGTGGTATTTCCAGGAAAGGCCCTGTTGGGTTTACATAATAATCACTTTGTAGACTCTAACTTCTCTCTTTGAACTGTCAAAGGGTTAAGTCTACCCTAAACTAGAATCCTTTAAGTTTGTGTATGAGTGTGTGAGAGCATGGGTATGTATATGAATATATGCCTATATACATATACATATACATAAAACTTATCTTCTTGAAGTTCTCTGATTTCAGCAAGTTTTATTCTATTTAGTAGCTTGCAGAGTTGAACAAGTCACAGGCAGAACCCAGCCACCTAGCCATATGAAAAATCAGTTCAACCAGAGAGCATGTATTACTTACTCCCTGAATTGGCTCAATTCAACATCTTTCTCCCTTTCTGTTCATCCTACCCTTGTTTCTTTGGTGGATGACTGTCCTCCTTGGACTGTATAATTTAGCACTTTTGGGGTGCTGCTAGAGAATTCAAATGGTGGCAGATTCTTCTAGGAAGCGTAAAGGCATCTTAGGAACCTAGTCATTATTTAGACGGGAGCATCAAAAGTTAAGCAGCCCAGCAATGCTCTGGAAAACAGTCACGAACATAAGCACATGCCCGGAGATCACAACAAGTGCTTAAAGAAAAGGAGGCTGAGGCGTAATGACAAATGAACACTGAGCCAAACAAAAGACACGAGCAAAATACTTTGCTCTATCGTCATTATCTGACTTGATTTTCCAAGAATCGATTTTTTTTTTTTCAGACGGAGTCTCGCTCTGTTACCCAGGCTGGAGTGCAGTGGCGCGATCTCGGCTCACTGCAAGCTCCGCCTCCCGTGTTCACGCCATTCTCCTGCCTCAGCCTCCCGAGTAGCTGGGACTACGGGCGTCCGCCACCACGCCCAGCTAATTTTTTGTATTTTTAGTAGAGACAGGGTTTCACTGTGGTTTTGATCTCCTGACCTCATGATCCGCCCACCTCGGCCTCCCAAAGTGCTGGGATTACACGCGTGAGCCACCGCGCCTGGCCAAGAATCGATTTTTATATGGGAGGCTGGGTGTAGCTGAGGACCCTTTTAAACAAATCTGCTACACACTCACTTTTTAACCCAGGTGGAGATGAGAAAGAATACCAGGAGGACTCTGGCTAATGCTGGTAGGGCTTATAGAGAGAGGACTTTTGTGTGTGGAATCATTTTGGAGAGCAAATTCACGGCATGTCCTAAGAATGAGGCTTAAACTCCAGAAAAGAGCAGCTTAGAGGCCTCTGGGTAGAATGTGACAATGAGTCCTTCATGAACACAGCTCACGGTCAGCCTTCAGGGAGATGCAGCACTCCACATGGCAGCTCACTGGTCCTGGCTCTGTTCCCTGTTTTATCTCACTAGCAAGGGTGCCAGGGAAGAGAAATCAGTGGTGTAAGGAAAAGAGAGCAGAAAGTCATTTATAAGATTTAAGATTATGTAAAATTAGTCCCGCTGCCCAACTTTGAGTCAGGTGAGTGAGAAGGCCACCATGAGCCGGGGTCATACACCTGTCACAGGTATTATTGTTGTCTTCTAGTGTGTCTGAAAATGTGCTCTCCTAATACTCTCCTCTCTTGAGATAATGAAAAAAGCTGACTAACAAGGACCCATTTAAAGATACTTGCTTAGGCCGAGCTTAGTGGCTCATGCCTCAAGTCCCAGCACTTTGGGAGACGACAGATCACTTGAGGCCAGGAGTTTGAGACCAGCCTGGACAACACTAGGGGTTTCTATATCCCAAGTGAGGCTCCCATCCCTAGAAAAAAAGTTTAAAACTTAGCTGGGCATGGTGGATGTACCTAGTCCCAGCTACTCAGGAGGCTGAAGTGAGAGGATTGCCTGAGCCCAGGAGGTTGAGGCTCCAGTGAGCTATGATCGCACCACTGCACTCCAGCCTGGGTGACAGAGTGAGACTGTTTTTCTTTAAAAAAAAGATACTTGCTTATTTTTTCCTTTCAAAGCCAATATTAGCATTCTTTGAAAGTAAAGCGTCTCATTTACACAATAAACAATATTAGCCATTGTCTGTCAGATAAAGATGACAGAATAATTAACCTACATCTTTTTAAAGGAAGATCAAAATCATAAAAACCCGTGCTTCTGCTACACAAAAATAAGTGGCAACTGACAAAGACCTTCAAATACTTTAAGGACTATCACTGCCACATCAAAGTCAGAATTCTCATTGTTAAAATTTGGGTAGCAGCACAATAGAAAACACATACTACATTGGCTTCTGGATAGAGTTTGTGTCCTCTTAACCTAATTTTAGAAGCTGCTGTGTTTTGGATGTGGTTTGTCTCCACCAAAACTCACGTGGAAATTTAATCCCCAGTGTGGCAGTGTTGGGAGGTGGGGTGTAGTGGGAGGCTTTTGGGTCCTGGAAGCAGATCCCTCAAGAATAGATGAACACTCTCCTTGGAAGTGAGTAAGTTCTCACTCTCCAGGGAATGGATTAGATCCCTCAAGAGCCGGCTGAGATAAAGCAAGGGCGCCCCTTGGGTTTCTTCACCCGTGTCCACTTCCCCTTTGACCTTCTCTGCCATGTTTTGACCAGCATGTGGCCCTCACCAGAAGCCAAGCAGATGCCAGTGCCACGCCCCTTGAACTTCCTAGCCTGCAGAACCTTGTACTAAATAACCTCTTTTATTTATAAATTACCCAGTGTCAGGTATTCTGTTATGGCAACATGAAATGGACTAAGACAGAAGCCTATGAACCATATTCAAATTTGAAGGGAGAGTAAATTACAGCAACCCTTTGGACATTAGGAATACTAACAACAACAACGCAATTATCGTCATTCTTTAAAGAGGTTTAACAAAGGTGTATTTAAAAATGTTAGCAAGGTTCGAAGTGCTTTACTTTGTTCAAACTATGTCAATATAATGCTTTGTTTCTTCTCTGGACTCTTGAAATTGAAAACATTCCTAATTTGGTCCTTCAGCTGCAATTTTCCCTTGCATAGTTCTTTCACTGTATAGTAGAGCATTCCTTGTGTCTGGTTAGCAGTATGCTATACTTTAAATGCTAATGGAAAAAACAGACTTCTTACACAAAATGCATCACATCTTTTGCACAAGACCCCAGCTGACTTTCCAGTATTGAATCTAAAGACTAAGCCTTCACACCTTGTGTCCGCAGACACTGATGAGTTAACTAGCTCATCCATTTAGCTTTTCTGAAGGAGAGCTGGATCCATTTTATTTCATTTTATTTTTGCAGGACATGAAGTGTGAGGTTATGAAGACTGAAATGAAAAGGCAGAGGCAATACAGGTTAGATCCAGCCCCTGCCTTGAGACCATGCATAAGGGGATCCTTCTTGGCCCCTCCAGCTGTGTCCCTCCACATGGGGCAAGAATCCATGAAGTCGTGGGGATGGGCCCACCTAGCTGACACATTCCCCCTTAGGACCATGTGGTGCACACCAAGGAGACAGGACTCCTCTTCCCAGATGGCCTAAGCTGCTTCTAGGGCCTGCATAGGCAGGTTCCTACCCTGGAAGCCATCCTCCCAAGGGCAGGCCATGCTGTTGGTACACACACCTATAGGCTTGAGGGTGGTCAACAGGCAGCTGTTTACTGGGCTGGTGAGGGCAAAAAGTATGGGTGGAGCTTGGATGTATGGAGTGAGTGAGGTGAGGAGCAAAGCTCCTCATGGTGCTGGAAAGAGAAGTGAAGAGAAGTAAGCTGGGCCTCCATGTGTATGCTTGCCTTGCAAATGTTAGGCGTGGGCCTGGAAAAAGGAAACTCAGAGATGGAAGTAGTTTTAATGGTGCTTCATTTAATAAAGAATGGCATACTGTTTAAAATCCTTTCCCTCCATTTGGGTCTGTCCATCTAGATCAACAAGAGAAAAGTTACCAGGGTGAGGGCTGATAAGAAAATACTATTGGCATAACTGGTGATTTACAAATAAACTCAGAAGAGTCAACTACAGGACAGAAAGAAATCAACAGATGTAACGTTGTCCAAAATCGTGTCCCCAACACATACCCACCCATCTGCTCATCCATAGCCCCACGTCATCCGGAGTGGACTGTAGACTGTGACCACTAAGGTTATAGACATTCTAGGTCTCGCCAACCTCCATGCTCTCAATGGTCTAAAGGATTTGCACCTCCCAAGCCAGTTTCTGGCTACATGTTCTGGTTCCAATATACACCTTTTAAATTGGCTTCCACTTGCTAGTAGCTTTTGCTTAAGAAAATTTAATGACGATGCATAACACACACCCTTCATATAACACACAAAACCTCAGAATTGGCTTTCTTCCCTATTTTAACACATTTATTGTAGGTATTAAATTACAGTAATTCCCAAGTTCAACCCCTAAGAAACAAAGCTACCTACGTCAAGCTTACTTCATAATGATTTTCTAAAGTATCAAGTCTAGACATTCCCTTCCACACTTAAAAAGGCCGTGCGTTTACAGGTAAAACACATAGGTCTTCACTGAGGCTTTTGGAAGGGAGGGGTCAAGAGTGTGTACCTCTTTCAAGGGAAGAGGAATGCAGTTGCCAAGAGAGTTGCCAGACAGATGGGAGACATGTTGTTCTGGCACAATTAGACCTCAGGAGTTCAACTATGAGACATAAGAACAATGACAAAGTAGTAATGGATGGGAAGATGGGACCCAGAAAACGTACAAAGATGGACATCATTATAGGTTTTAAATGGCTCTCTTGGGTCAGAACACAAGCCATACTTTCAACAAATAAGGGAGGTGGTTGCCAGTGAAACTGGGCCATATCTGAGTAGAAAGCAAACTTGAGCACCTTGGGAAGGCAGAGGAGCTGGGCACCTGGGGATGAGAATGCTAGGCTCTGGGCCACAAAGCCTGGCAGTGTGAAGCATTCTTCCCCTGCGCGGTTTGTTCCTGCCTACTTCATTACCACCAAAATGTTCCTTACCCAAGTGCCTGCCAAATCTGCCTCCAGTTACAAATGTTGGCCAACGCTTCCCACTTAGAGCCCAACTACCTGGGATCCCCTCTGTTCTACCCAGTGAACTAATTCTGTTACCAAACTATCCCACACACAATGTGTCTCCTTCATTTTTTAATGTGCTCCAGGAAACATTGGGAGCAATTTTCTGGAATTTATACAACATTCCTCAAGGGGTCATTTTGAAGCAACAGGAAAACCTTCGTGAAATTCTACTAAGGAACTGGGACTGGTCCAATTTTCCTACACAAATTTTTACTAGATGGAAATCCAGAAGTTTTGGCCACTTCTATCCATCATAAAAACGCCCTTTGTTTAAACAAAGTCTCCACTGATGCATTTTCCAGCACATAAGGTAATTTTCAGTGTGGTACAAAACTCACTAGGGTCCTTTAAAACCAGGGGTGGGGAGGTGGGGGGAGGAGAAGAAAAAAAGTACCTACACAGCAGAAGCCTTTATGATCTATAACTGAGTACACACTGCATTTGCAATAATACCACATTTAACCGCCTGGGTTGTAATACAGTAAGTAACCCCCTCACAACACTGACCAGCCCACAAACAGAACCAAGAAACCTGGCAAGGAATTCTATCTGCAATAACAAACCCAACTGGCAATAAAAGCCATCTGTACAAGTGCCAATTATCCTTCTCCTCAAATGATTAGGTTCCATCTAGTTTTGCTGACAAGCAAGTTATGCCACATTTTAATAGGCAATAAAATGTATTATTAAATAATTAGTAGCTAAGAAACAGAAGAAATTAGAGGCTACTTCCCTTCACACACATCCCCTAGTACTTCAGTCTATTGATATAAAGCAACTTGATCCTCCAAAGAGACAGACTGAAACTTGATACAGCAGTTTACTGTGAGACAATTATGAGGCTAATGAGTGTTCACAGAGACTGAAGCAGGAAAGAAATCTAGAAAATTCCACCTAACCCTAGTTATGTCTGATCTGTAGCAGGGTCCCAGAGGAGCCAAAATTTCTTCAAACTGCTCCTTGTTCTGAGCACATTAATTAAACTGTTAAAGGTAAAGGAGTATTGATGTCTTTCCCATCTCCTCACTTCTCCCCGCAGGTAGTGTCTGGTACTTGTTCAGCCCTAAAGGTACAGTTGCACTAACTGAAAAAAGCCCCACTAAGACCAATTAAGGTCTTTACTAAGAGGCTGAAAAGAAGACAAATGAAGGCAGAAAGCCCGATTACAAGGAACCTTTGTACAGATGTAAAGCAATTACAGTGGTCCCAGGGGTAAGGCAGCATGGTTCCAGAAGCACATGATTTTACAGCCTGTCTAAACTTGGAACAATCTATCTTTTTTTAGGTTGAGAATAAAAGTGAACCCTATATTAGTGTCATATATCAGCTGCAGTGCCTGTGATTGGTTCCCCCATGTCTGCTAGAGCCATAAAGCTTCTCAAAGATCCCCGGTGGAGGGCAACACCATTATACACTCTGCTCTCACTGGCAGGGAAAAAAGACCTGCCTCGTGTCAGAAGTGCTTAACAGAGGGGCCGCCTCAGCTGCACAGACACCCCAGAGATGGGCGTCCAGGAGAGAGAGGGAGGTGGACCAGGAAAGTGGTGGACAAGGATTGGAAAGGAAGGCAAAGGAGGACTTCAGGAACTGGAACTGAGAGGCACTCTCTGGAAGACATTTGAGGGGGTCGCCGTAAGGAGAACAAAAAGTCCTCCCCGATAATCCTCTGGAGACACTTTAACAGCAGCCACATTTCTGTCATTAGCCCTGCTTTTGATCTCGTTAATGCCTGGCATGTCAGTGTTTCATCTTTCCATACTTGAGAAGAGCCAACAGATGGGCTCTTGGTAGAGACTCAGATGTAAAAATTTGTACTTTCTGTCGGATTTCTGGAAGTGAAACAACCAGAAAGGGGAGGAAGGGTCAGAAATTTGTGCCTATTCCTCAATAGTTTAGGATCGGAAACTCGTTAAGACAAGAAAAACTCCAGAAATCTCTCTCCGTATATATACACACACACACACACACACCCATACATACACACACACGCACACATATATACACACACACCCATACATACACACACACACATACATACACACACACCCATACACACACACATACATACACACACACCCATACACACACACACCCATACATACACACACACACACACACAGCAGCCCTTTCTAATAGAAATATAAGGCAAGCAGTACAGGAAATTTAAAATTTTCTAGTAGCCACATTAAAGAAGTGAAAAAGAAACAAAAAGTTAATTTTAATAACATATTTCCTGTAACTCAATGCATCCAAAATATTATCACTTCAACATGTAATTGGTATGAACACATTCTTAACGAGACATTTTACGCTATTTTATTGACTAAAGCTTAGGAACAGGGCGTAGGTTTTACACTTATGGCCCATCTCATTTGGACTCACCCCATTTCAAGTGCTCAGTAGCCACGTGTGAGTCACAGTCACTGCCTGGGACAGTGCAGCTCTGCAGTGACTGCTGGCTGGGGATCCTGGCCCATGACTTACCAGCCATGTGATGCTGCATTAATTACTCAAGTCTTTAGTCTTCAAATTGCTCATCTTTAAGTTGGGAATAATAATAAGACTTTACCTCACAGGATTGTTGAGAGGATTAAGATAATCCATGCGAAAAGCTAATGACAAAGCCTGGCACAGAGTATGCACTTAGTAGCTGTTAGTTGGAACTTGTACTATTATTTTTATAAACCAATCTCAAGTAAAGAAAGAGTTGTGATCTCCTACCAAGACATGTTTTACGAAAGCTATTAGGAAATATTCTATTTGAAGTTCCTCATTACTCTCTGTACTTATTGGAGTTGCCAAATGAATTTTAACAGTGATTTGAGATTCAAGCAAAATGGGCCTTGAAGACTTGGCCCTGTCAGTAATTGTTTCCATTAGATGATGTACCAGGACTTTGTATCTGATCTCCACAAGGAAAGCCAGACAGGGACAGGAATGTACTGAGTGAGAAACTTAAATCTGCTAGAAAGATCCATGTTGCCAGACATCAGCAAATGCTATCACACTTTACGCGATTAGCAAGAACAGTGGCTTTAGGTAAAGAGCTGATAATTGCACAGATCATTTTGATTTTTGATAACTAATAACTCACACCAAGGAACGGCATTAAAAACCGGTGGCATTTAACATTCAACAGAGAAATAATTAACTTTTAAAGTTAGCCAGTAAAAGAAAATGCCAAGGCAGGATGGTGAGGCAGAGCTGACAACAAGAGAGGATACAATGGGACATTAATTAGGTACAAGCAAACATCTTCCCTAACAGCTCATGTTCTCATTCCCAAAATGTCAACAATAGATATTAACACCAGATGCTGGCATTACATCTCCCCTGACAGTGAGTCTGGGCCATGTGTGTGTGCTCAGAGAAAAGACTCAAGTGATTGAGAGGAAAAATCCGATGGGATAAAGGCTGTGTTTCCTTCTCTTAAATAATTTACAGACCCTTTATGAACAGTGGGTAATGGGGGCTTTCAGGGGACTTAACTAAAACATGGGGAAGGAGAAAGATCGGATCAAGTTAGACACTGTCCACATGTAGGATACTTGGCATATGTCCTGCTTGCCTGGAGGTTCCCTGGGTCAGCCACCCTCCTGCAGGAGACTAGAAAGGTCTCCTGTGTGATATTTGTAAGCAATCTTCTCTTGAGTAAAATGCAGTGAAACCACCATGCCTGTGGTTAAGGGACACAACCATAGTATTTAGAAAATTTTAGAAAAAAGAATCTCTGATCATCTAAAAAATTGTTTTATTAATTTCAAATTTTTCATGCTTTGAGTCAGTGAAAAAAGAGATATAACAAATATAAGGAATTTGACATATTGCTTTGCTGAGTCCTATGCAAGCTAAGCTTAAGATACAAATGGGGATATAAATGGACAATTTATGTTCTGAACTCTGTTGGCTATGGTGGAACCGCCTCTGTTTCCAGAGCAACTGGTCAAAACCTCTCCAAATATTGAGCAGTTTTGAAAACTGGATTAGGAACCACTAATGAAAAAGAACAGACTCAGGGACAAGTGTTTGGCGGGAATGTGTGAAGAGGTAACTAATGAGTGTCACTGAATTCCACTATTAAACAGATGAAACAAAGCCTTTCCAACCTCAGAGCCTCTGCAGATGCTGTTTTCTTTGCCAACAAGGAGCTTCCCCAGCAGTCTTCTCATTCTTAGCTATGTCATTCTTGTTGGTTAAATCTTCGCTTAGAATGTCACTTCTTCGATGAGGAATTTCCCATGCCTACCTACCTAAAGTAGGTCCTACCCCACCCAACCTCCATTATTCTCTACCTCAGCCTCTTCGCTTTTTTTAAACGAAGCATTTCATTTAAAATGTTTTTTAAACAAGCATTTATCACACCTGTGCTTATCTCATTTGTTTCTTTGCTGTACCTTAAGTTCTGAGAGGGCACAGAAGATAACGTCTGTTCTGTTTACCTCGTAGTAGGCACTCAACATGTGTTTGATGAACACTGATGAGATCTCTGCTGCCTTCTGTTGCTGCTGACTCCCTCCTTGGGGACAAGGAACACCAATAAAGATCCCAGTGGATGATGAATAATCTAGATCCACAGGCATCTAGATAACCCCTCCTGACGCTCCCTTTCAACATTCATTAAAATGGGCACAAATGAATGAGACAGACTTTCTACCCTCAGGGAGTTTACAGTCTAGGAAAAAAAGGATTGCAGCCGAAGATTAAAAAGTCACTGTACTGAGAGAGGCAAGTTAGGCCATGTGATCAATGCAGGACTCTGGCTGACACTGTAAGAGCAAGGATTTTCAGAGACAGCAAACAAAAACTGACAACTGAAACAAACCACTCCAAAGAGTTGGCAGAACAGTGCAGGGGTTAAGAGCATGCGTTCTGGCTGGCTTCATGACTTACTAATTGTGACATTTTGAGCGAGTTCCTTAAACTCCTTGTGCCTCAGTTTTTTAGTATGTGTGATGGGATTAACAGTAGTATCTATGTCAGAGATTGTTATGAAGATTAAATATTTGTAAAGTGCTTAGACTCATAGAAATGGTAAGCCCTCAATAATTGTTAGCTATTAAAAATAATGGTCAAGGCTGGGCCTGGTAGCTCATGCCTGTAATCCCAGCATTTTGGGAGGCCGAAACAGGTGGATCACCTGAGGTCAGGAGTTCGAGACCAGCCTGGCTAACATGGTGAAACCACTGTCTCTACTAAAAATACAAAAATTAGTTGGGTGTGCTAGCAGGCACCTGTAATCCCAGCTACGTGGGAGGCTGAGGCACAAGAATCACCTGAACCTGGGAGGCGGAGTTTGCAGTAAGCCGAGATCACACCACTGCACGCCAGCCTGGGCAACAGAGCAAGACTTCGTATCAAAAAAGAAAAAAAAGAAAAAAGAAAAAGAAAAAGTCAACACTTATGTGGTAAGGTTGTGGAGAAAAAGGTACTTGTATACTGTTAGGAGGAATGTAAGTTGGTATAGCTATTGTGAAAACCAGTATGAAGACCCCACCAAAATTTAAAAATAGAATACCATACAACACAGCAATCCCTCCAAAGAAAATGAAATTAACATCTTGAAGAGATACCTGCACCCCCATGTTCACTGCAGCACTATTCACAATAACCAAGATAGGAAATCAACCAAGTGTCCATCAATGGATGAATAGATAAAGAAAATGTGATAATGTGCTGTAGTGTGTGTGTACACATATACATCTCCTTAAAAAAGAAGGAAATCGGCTGGGCGCGGTGCCTCACGCCTATAATCCAGACACTTTGGGAGGCTGAGGCGGGTGGATCGCCAGAGGTCAGGAGTTCGAGACCAGCCTGGCCTACATGGTGAAACCCCATCTCTACTAAAAAAAATACAAAAATTAGCCAGGCGTATTGGCGCACGCCTGTAATCCCAGCTATTCGGGAGGCTGAGGAAGGAGAATCGCTTGAGCCTGGAAGGCGGAGGTTGCAGTGAGCCGAGATTGTGCCATTGCACTCCAGCCTGGGTGACAGAGCGAGACTCCATCTAAAAAAAAAAAAAAAAAGAAGAAGACAAAATCCTGTCATTTGCAACAACATGGAGAACACGATGATAAGTGAAATAAGCCAGACACAGAAAAAAAAAGTACTGCATGATCTCACTCATATATGGCATCTAAAAAACAACAGTCAAAGACATAGAAACAAAAAACACAATGGCGGTTACCAGGGGTAGGGAGGAGGAGGAAATGGGCAGATATAGGTCAAAGAGCAGAAACTTGCAGTTAAGTCTAGAGATCTAATGTAGGGCAGGAGGACTCTAGTTAATAATATTGTAGACTGAAAATTTGCCAGGAGAGTAAATTTTAGGTGGTCTTGCCACATAAAAAGGGTAAATATGGAAGGTGACAGATATGTTAAATTGCTTCCCTGTTGATATGGTTTGGCTGTGTCCCCACCCAAATCTCATCTTGAATTGTAGCTCCCATGTGTCATGGGAGGGACCAGGTGGGAGGTAACTGAATCATGAGGGTGGGTTTTTCCTGTGCTGCTCTCGTGATAGTGAATAAGTCTCAGGAGAGCTGATGGTTTTATAAACTCTGCACATGGTCCCTTGCCTGCCACCATGTAAGACGTACTTTTGCACCTCCTTCGCACCTTGTGCCATGATTGTGAGGCCTCCCCAGCCATGTGCAACTGAGTCCATTAAACCTCTTTTTCTTTATAAATTACCCAGTCTCAGGTATTTGTTTATTAGCAGCATGAGAAGGAAATAATACACCCAGAGTAATCATTTTGGTATATATATGAAATATCAAATTATCGCTATTTCACTAATTGTATGTATATCAAAACATTATGTTGTACATCTTAAATTCATACCATAAAAAAAAATAGGTCTCTTCAAGGACCATGAAACTTGTTTACTAGTTAACTCCATCCACTCTTCATCTACTTAGCCCATGAATTCCAGCATTTGGCCACAGCCTGCTCACACTTTTAAATCTCCTATTGTCCTCTTGCTGTGGCATGTAGTACTGGCCATGAGCTTAACTGTCAAGCTTGCCTCAAATGCACTTCCAAACACAAACCCTAATCCAGCCTCTCCTGTTGTTTAACCTTTTGTAGTGGCCAACAGAGGACATGCAGGGTGTTCCAACACTGTCCCAGTTCTTGATACTATTTCATATTTGGTTTCCCTTCCAGAAAAGATTAACTTATAGAGGCACAGTGTGACACTTGGACTGGAACCTGGGTATTGACGTCCAGCTGATTAAGAACAGAAATGAGATTTTTGTGTTTAAGTAATCTTTGCTATTATGTTTCTTTCAGAAATCAACTCTTTCTTAAATTCAGAGCCCCTAAAGCAATATAAAATGACTTCGGTTTGTCCACCCATCTCAAAGTATCTATTATGTTCAAGAGAAGATACCAGGCACCATGTGAAGAAAAAAAAAAAAGCCTGGAAAACCAGATCTCAGTCTTCAAAGGATGATTATGTTACAGTGTAACAAAGCTCAGAAGTAGCTTGCCAAAGAAGGCGCTAACCTCTGATTTTCTAAGGATCAATTACATTCTGGTTTTGAGCACAGAGATTTTAAGCATTGGAGTGCCAATGACTTAAGCCACAAAAAAAGTCCTTCAAGTACCACTGGTAAATAATCATTCTCTTTGTGATGGTTTTTGAATTTCACTTTAATCAAATCCAGTAAGATGTTCCAAATATCATTTATCCTTTAACAATCAACTCTCAATCTCTAAATCCTGGTTTTACTTTAATCACTTATAAAAATTCTATTATTCTAGTGCTGATTATGGTCTGTCTTGCTGTGCACCAAGCAGCAGAATCACTAAGCCCACAGGCTGCTCTAAGTCGCACGTCACCCCTCTTGAATTAGACCCAGGAAGAGGAGTGTCTGTGAGCAGAGGTCTCTGAGCCAGACTGCCTGTAAGTCTGGGATGTGCTTTGGCAAGTTACTTAGCTTCTTCAAGACTCAGTTTGTTCATTTGTAAAATGGGTCATGATAGTAGTAGTAGTGTCTACTTCATATGGGGTTTGGAGCAATTAGATGAGATGAGTATAAAAGCATTAGAATAGTTCCTGACCTTAGTAACTCAGTCATTTTTGTTATTTAAAAAAGTTCTTAAGACTAATATTGTTCTTTATTTTCTTCATTTCTTTGGCCCTCCATGACAACTATAGAGCACATATTTAGACCTTAGAAAAGCGTTCACCATGCTCTGTGATGAAATCTCATTAGTTCACTGCCACTTAGCTGGAATTCTTTTTTTGTTTTTTGTTTTTTTGAGACGGAGTCTCGCTCTGTCGCCCAGGCTGGAGTGCAGTGGCATGATCTCGGCTCACTGCAAGCAACGCCTCCCGGGGTTCACGCCATTCTCCTGCCTCAGCCTCCCTAGCAGCTGGGACTACAGGCGCCCGCCACCTCGCCTGGCTAATTTTTTTTTTTGTATTTTTTAGTAGAGACGGGGTTTCACCGTGTTAGCCAGGATGGTCTCGATCTCCTGACCTTGTGATCCACCCGCCTCGGCCTCCCAAAGTGCTGGGATTACAGGCGTGAGCCACCGTGCCCAGCCAGCTGGAATTCTTGAGTAGCCACTGCCTGCTGAGCACTGAATTGTGAGAAACTGGTGATGGGGGTGGCTCAATAGAAACAACACCTTATAATTTATCTCAAGGAGATTTAAAGGTAGTTAGACACATATCAGATCCTCTTTTCAGGGGTTTCTTTTATTTTTTCTTAATTGACAATAATAATTTTAATCTGTGGTCTCATTTACATGGGGAAACAATTGGACAAATCTGAATGTATAATCGTGTTTTGCCAATGGCTAGCTGGTACTATAAAGTTATTTTTAATTTTTGGGGCCTCAGTTTCCTTATATTAAAACATGGAGTAGCTCCTGCTTACAGCCTGTTGTGGTGGGGATGCAATGAGGCAGAACAGAAGTTTCTTTACTCTGACTTTGCAGCACAGGCTATAAGGTAAAGAAGAGTGAGTGAATCTGAAATCCTCCAAGGCTTTCATTTCCCTTCCCTCTGACCCTTAAACCACTCTTAAACCACTCTCTGCTCTGCTGGCTCATGTCATTATTCATGTTTCATATTTAGTGCCTACTCAAGCCTATAACTGGTGACAATTTGTGGATAAGACTCTAGAACTTCTACCCAAAGGAGCAGGAGGATGACATAAGCCAGCAGAGCAGAGAGTGGTTTAAGGATACAGTCCTCTAGGCCAGGGAGTCATCTCCTGGAGCCGTAGACTACAAGTCTCCCAGAGGGTAGAAGGAGATGTGTCCCTGCATCCCCTCCCTGACACAGAAGTGTGGGTGCTGAGGGGACTGTGCAAAGCCCTGCAGAAGACATCCAATTTGTATTTTTCTGACAAGCTAACCCCTACTCTGGGTGGATTTTAGGAAGCCAGCTGCACACCGCTGGCAAAGATGAGGTGGAGTCCCCAGGACAGATCTCTGTTGCAGGGCATCTAAGAGGGGGAAGTGTAGGTAGGTGGCTGGGGTTCTCTTCTGCTTCCTGGTTTCCTGTCTGTATTATTTTATCCGCTCTCATTCCAGGTGAGCAGAGAATAGAAAAGCCAGAGGAGAAAGAAAAAACATCCTGAAACACTGGGAATATTCACCCATACATGCCCACCTTCATTAAATAGCATCTACTGTATGCTTGGCACTGTACTCACAAAGATGAGTGAGGCACAAGAGCAGTCCTCAAGGAAATTATAGTCTAATGGAAGAAACAGACACACACAGGAAACAATGTATGGACTGTGATAGAGACCTGCTTAGGTATTATGGGAGGACTTAGTGAAGGCACATACTCAAACCTAGAATTGAGCAGAAGGAGGTGGGGAGGTATCATGGAAGTTAAGCTGTCATTAAGCAGTAATACAAGAAGTAAGTTTCAGGTAAGTAAGAAGTGATTGCAGGGGATAGAGGAAAGCATCCAGGAAGAAGAGACAGTGTAAACGGAGGCACACCGCAATATCCTGTGAGAAGTTACCAGTACTCTGTGTGGCTGGAAGGAGAAGACACAGGCTGCTCAAACAGTCATGCACAGAGCCAGATAAAGGGACAGGAAGGAAAACAAGCACTGAGATGGCACGGACTCTTGGCTGAACAGAAAGGAGACTGCTTCATGTAGTTCACGTGGCCAGAAGGGAGGCATGTGGTCTTCTTGGGCTACTGTCTGTTCCAAGTCACAAAGCCACTTATCTCTACCTATTCATGTTGTTTCACGTGAGGGGAATGGCTTGGACACAAGAGACCTAGGAAGCTTCATTTGGGGACCATGGAGCCTGGCGCAGAGTTGGGTGCCTGGTGAGTGCTCTAGTTCTTCATCCTAACAAAGTTCGGTGATTATAAAAATAAGATGATGTGGTAGGTGAAGGGTTTGTCATGAGGATGTTGTCAACCCATAGGAATCAGATTTCTAGACTGTGTCTATGGTACTAAAATAATGCAGACTTTCCCGGGGGTAGCTCAGGAAGACAGAGAGACATGTGTTTGCTTGCCTGGGGAGGTGAGCTGACCTGATTAAGAGAAATTTACACTGAAGGTGGAGGGGAAGAGAGTAACATCTCTAACCTCCTCCGCAAATGAGAAACTAGCCACAATGGAGGTAAGAGGTATGGGATGTGGAACCCAGTGGCCTATACTTGAAAGCCTTTAAGAGGGTGTCAGATCAGACTGGCCTCAGATCGCAGCACTGAAAGCTTCTCTCATGGCCAATCCCTGTGTGAGGCCCTCATCTCTTTAGATGTCTATGTATCATCAGTTATAAAATAAGCAGAGATTTTTAGAGACATGATAAAAATAATCTCCTGAGTATCACCCAGGCTCATGGGATAGGATTTAAGGTGGGAAAGGTATTGTGGAAAAGCAGTGTCATATGTCAAAAAACACGTAGATTTCCATTGCTCACCACTGTAGCTCTACCACCTGACATAGTACCAGACACATAATAATGCTTAATAAATAGTTTTTGGAAAAGCAGATCAATTTGCATGGAGATCCATGAGCATGAGAGATGAAGCACACTGGCACGTACCTGGATAAGAAGAAAAGTGATATCCTTTTGAGAATATACCAGATGACAGCCAGGTGAAAAAAAAAATGATAGACTTCTGACATAGATTATAAAACCACAGATTCAGGACACTGGGACCTCAACTATCTGGATATTTGCTGATGGTGTCATTTAGTTAATGGCAGAGCATCTGACCAACAGGTTATCATCAGGCTTGAAGTAAATTTCAAGTCCAAAAAAACAGGAGATATAATTAGGTCTACTCCATTCTGGATCAAACGATGGCTTCTTAGACAAAACTGAATGCTTGAAGAAAGTCATGAGAGTCTTGGCGAGTAATACAAGTCTCATGATGCATACTAAGGGGGGATCTAGAGACCTCAAAATATGGAGCTAAGCTTACTGAAAGGCAGATTTTATAGTTCAAAGGCTAAAACATAGTCTACTTTTCATAGTGACAAGTTTTGGAAAGGACAATGGCTCAAGGGAATCAAGGAGCTTCAAAATTGTGAAACTGCCCCTATAAGAAGGGAGAAAGGGCATGGTGGTGAGAAGCTACATAAATCAGGAGCTAGGCAGGAAGTTTCTCTGGGTAAGCTGATTTTAAGAGGCCACATATAAAAGTTGGAAAGTGGTACCACCATCAAAGAAATTAACACTAAAGAGAAGAATGCTGAAGGAATGAAAGTTAACTTATAAGTATCACTGAGGTTTCACCAGCGTTGAACAAAGAGGCAGTAAGCACTCTGTCATAGGAAGTTATGGCTCGAGGGCCACTTTGCGGGAAAAACTGTATGGGAGACTTTCTGGAGGGAAGTTGGATTAGATAACCATCCAGTAGTCACCCAATCTTGAGATTTTGTGATTCTAAGCCCAATAAATGCCGGCTAAGTCTAAGTTATGCTACAATAGCCTTCTGCAGAATACCACACACTCCCTACAAAATTCTTTCAGACTGTAGGTAATGGGGAATAGGCAAGATCAGAAGACGTCAGCATACAGTGAGAAGCTTATTATACAGAGGGCTTTGTTTCCAAACTTCTCTGAGTCAAAGGCACATTGGACCCTGCTTTGCAAACAGCCACCTGTCTACTTATCTGAGACAAGTAATAGCATATGCTGGAAGAGTACAACAGGCGGCCAGAGGAGCCAAGATGTCTTTTCTTGCATGTTTTCCTAATTAACTATATTCTTGGATGCCTTTGAAGAAAAGAGTCCCTCCTGAAAACATCCCAGAGTTTGGAGTAAGGAAGGAGTTGCAAGCAGTATTGGTAATTCTAAACTTGTCAAATGGAAAAGCTTCACTCCAAAAAAAATGGTTTTGCAGGATGGGGTGGGGGAGACATACTGCTAGCCAAATGTCATCTTTGCTTATTCTTGATAAACTTGCTAAAATGTCTCCTAATCCTCAAAAGGTTCTAACCCATGTTGATCATCTTTTAAAATAAGGTCACTGAATTTAGAGAGCCAAGAAGAATGCAGTTCTCTGAATGTGTTAAGACCACTCAGTAAAGCAGATCTATCTAGAGTTGGACATTTTAAAAACTCCAGTTCTCATGGCCTTCTCTGAAAACAAGGTTGAGGGCATGGGACTTAGCAAAGAGGTAAGGGCTGAATTTGAACTGGGCATGACCTTCAGGACAGGGCAGGAGCTGAGGAATATGAGAAATTGGAGAAAAGTCAGTATCAGGCAATAGAAAAGATCCCCAGAATTCAGTGACAGGACAATTAGGGTCCCCTCTCTCATGCCTCGTATTTTTTTCTGCCCTAGGTTCTCTTGACTTTACCTTGCAAATAGGTCTCATTGATTTCTATTCTGCCATGTCTGCCATATTTCCATGGTTCAGATTCTTATCTACTTGCTTTTCAAGCCCATTCACTGCACAAAAACCCAGGGCTGGGATGTTTCAGGGCGTAAGTAAGGTGTCTAGGGCACACAATTTTAGGAGACACTCATTCTCAGGGTTGTGTCAGTACTGATCCTGAACCTGCACGACCCTCAAAGTGAGTGCCCCCTTACATTTTGCACCTTAGGTGGATCTCTGGCCTCACCCTAATGCTGTTCTTGTTAGTTTCCAGAATTGAGGATGTAGCTTCAATGGGCTGCAACACTCACACCACTATGTGCCTTTCCAGGACCTGAGGTAGGGCTGCCTTTTGTTTCATTTCCCAGCACTCACAGTTACACACCAAATATCCTCATTCCTTTCCTAACAGCAATTCCTCTAACACACACTGTTGCTTTACAAAATGAAGAAAGGAGAGACTCCTTTCTTCAAAGACATTCAAGAATACAGTTAATTAGGAAAACATAATCCCCTTCACAAATGCCCCACCTTCTCTTTATCCCGGGCAAAATCCTGTAATCCCCTTAAGACTCTCCCTTGTATTCCCTTATATCCATAAAATTTCCCTTACATGTTACATCTTAAAAGTCTTTCTGTTTTGAAACCACCACTTAGTGTTTCTTCCCTTACATTCCATCACCCGTCTTCCAGAAGATTTATCATATAGTACTTTTAACTGTTTATGTTCCAGTGGCTTGAGGTTACAATCCAGTGGGATAGATAGTGTCTTTCCATCCATGCGTTCTCAGTGACTACCACAATTACTAGCACACAATGGGCCTTCAATTAGTGTCTGTGGAATAAATGAACATGCATTCTGTTGAGCAGAAAACCACAGTATTCTTACTATTCTCCTTTAAGCAGGATTAATTCCAGAGTTCAAAGCAATAAAATGAGCCTTCTAACCATGCGAGTAGGAAACCAGATAGGTCATAACACACATGATGGGCCTGTCTGTCCAGGTTGTTAACTTTACCCTTTCAGTGTGAACTGGAGAGTTCTGACAGAGCAAGTGAATATCATAAGCAAAGCTAAAATATTTGTCAAATATCATTAATTAAGATGATTAAAGTGAATATTTAATCAACTATAATTAAAATTTCATAGAGAGGGAGTTTGTTGAAGCCATTTGCAAATACTTAATCTGACTTTTTGGAGAGGTGTTCAATACTGCCCTAGGTTTGAGATTTGGAAGCTTCCACAAATGAGCTTAAATTTACTGATTCTGGCCACCTCCTTTCTTAGAAACAATCCTGTATTTTGGCTCTTTAAAAAACTACAAGGTCTTTTCCAACTTTAGAACAAAACACTGCCACGGTGAAATACAGAATGATCTACAGATAGCACAAGCCAAGGGAATGCCTTGTGTCAAACTCCAGACAGCACTGGAAAAAGTCTGATTGCTTTTAAGGCAAAGCTGAAGAGAATGGATAGCAAGAGGCTGCGGAGGGCAGTGTATTCTCTGTTAAGGATGCAGCTATGTGTAAGGTGGGGTACAGTGGTTAGGAGGTGGAAGAGATCTACATCTGCCCTGTTCAGTATGGTAGCCATTAGCCACATGGGTCTATTTAAATTTAAACTCATTAAAATTAAATGAAATTTTAAAATTTAGCTCCTTAGTCTCACTAGCCACATTTCAAGTGCTCAACAGCCACATGTCGCTAGTGCCTCCTGTATTGGACAGTGCAGGTACAGAACACTTCCAACATCATGGGAAGTTCTACTGGGCAGTGATGGGATGAACAATGGAAATTCAATATTGTCACCCTCTGTAGCCTGATGAGCAAGGATGCCCATTTTCTGCATAGTTGATAATAAATACACACATACTCAGCATTTTCTCATCGATCTTCTGGCAAGCGACTTCCCCCCCGCAAAAAAAAAAAAAGAAAAAATTATGTGCCAGAAATGCTGTCATTATAGTTTCCTTTCCAGTTAAAAATGAACAATATCAACTGAGATGCCCAGAGTTGGCTTACTTAAGAAATGTGAAGTGATGGATGGGCACTAGAAATTAGAGAACAGTTCAAAAATGAATGTGGTGCCTACAGATGACTGCAAGGCAGGGAGAGAGAGAGGACAGGCAAAGCCCTGAACACACAGATTAGCAAAAACTGATGGGGGAATCTGGGCACTGCAGAGGCTAAGAAAGCAAGCCCAGTAGTCCCAGGCCCCGAATGCATTTGATTCTAATGTGCAGTATGTTTCATGCCCTCCAGAGAGGCAGCCATGCTGAACTATAGCTGTCCCGGGCCCAAGTCTCCCATTTCAAAATGAAAGAAATCAAGAAAACCAGAACCTATAGTTGAAGTGATAACTGCCAATTAATGAATATTTCTAAACACCTTCTCCAGCCAAACTTGCACTGCAAGTCAATAAGTTGTCCATTTCTTGCCTTTTCTACAGATCTGTCCTTACCGTTCAAATAATCAGTCACTAACAGATTCCATTCTTTAAGGAGGCAGACTGAAAATCCTAAGATCCAATCTGAAAGAGAGGCCAAGGGAATTCTTTTCTGAGCATTAGATTGGTTTCACATGAGGTGATTAGACTCTTTTCGTGCTAATTGCACTAGAAAGAACTAATTAGAAAAATCTACCATTCAGCTAATGAGAGCTGGGTCCTAACTATCTCAGTGCTTAACTTCTCAGGTAGTAAAATATCACAGTTTTTTTCATGCCCCATCTGAGAAAGTTGTCACTGTGTTAAATTCCAGCAGTCAGCCTGGGCATTAAACAACTAAGGCAACATTTACAAAATGCCTACACATGCTATTGTTCACAGCGGCTCCGCCCATGATTTTTCACAGTTTCAGAAGGGTAAATATGATAATCAAAGACTGTTAGCTGACAGTATATCGAATTGGTAATGAATTCTGCCCCATTTTTCAGTGCAACCTTCTCAGTGCCTTTGTGCCTTTTATGCTGCGGTCCGTTAATAATGCAGGATAAGGTATTTCACATGTAATGCTGTTACTCCGGTAAGAAGAGTTCATTAAAAAGCAATGATATCACCTGATTGAGACTCATGTCTCTGCCAAGGGTTGTAGCATTTATTGGGAAGCTGACAGAATGAGAATAATGAAGAGCTAATAAATCAGAGTCCCTTATTATACAATAAACTCATTATACAGTAAACATTATACAGTATACATAAACATTGGAAAAGAGGAAAACAGCCTTACTATTAGAATGAGGGCTGTTTTAAAGCTTTCTTGGAAGAGTAAGTTCAGGAGTGGGTTTTGAGTTTCATATGATTTACATATTAAGACCACATGGACATTTCAAGAACACTATTAAAGAAATGTGTCTGTAACTCAAAACTCTTCCAACACCCAAAAAAGTACTTTTTCCAAAAAGAATTTGCAGTCCCCTTGGCAGGCGCCAAAATCCTGCATGCTGCGAAATGATGTGTGAAATTAGCAGAATTGTAAATGTCAAAACTTCTCTCGATGGAATGAAATACTAGAGATTCTCTTTGTATCAGGTTCCTTATTCCCAAGATAAAAAGTTTTCAAGAAGGCAAAGATTCATACATGTTCAAGTACCTTTGTACTGAGGATGCTGACCTTAACTCCTGAGTTTCCAAAGAGGATCAAAAATGAGAACTGAACTAACCGTCCCCAGCAACCTCTGGAAAGCACAGATGCTAGCTGCCATGTAGGTATGTTCCATCCAGTGTATTCTTAATTACTTATAACTTGACTTCTCGGTGTTTGGATTAAGGACCATTTTTGGGGTTATTCTGCTGCTCATTAGCACCTCTATGTGAAGAGTGTGAAATAAATAGTGAGATTCAGATCTTTCAGTTAACAGTTTCAGAAAAGAATTGTTAGGGTTCAGAAACAAATGGTTATAAATAAGGTTTGCGAAAATTCTAGATATTACAGCTTCTAGGCACACCTCATCCCTTATGCATATATATCTTGACATTTATGCTGCATTATTAAAAAAAATGTGTACTGGTATTTATGTTCAAATCATTTACCATTCCAAAGACTCTTAACTTATTACGGGGTGTGTGTGTGTGTGTGTGTGTGTGTGTGTGTTTCTCTCCATACATGGACACAGATGGCAAGTCATAGGAGAGAAAAACTAATAGTGTAGTACTATGTATGTATTATTATCCCCATTTTTACAGACAAGACCTCAGAGGATAAGGTAATTTGCTTGGTATTAAATAGCTAAGTAAAAGAGCTGCAATTTTAACCCTGGCTAGCCCTGTCCTCCACTTCAAATTACATCTCTTTTCCTTTCAAAGTATCTCTGGCACTCTCAAATCTCCTTAGTGCAGTACATCAGCGGTATTTTGCCTGAACTTTTTTCAGAAGTTAAATTCTCACTAATCTAACACAGAAATGAGTGTAGATTTGAACTGAATGGTTATTCCTGTGACAGTCTAAAGTCTAATACTTACTTTATGTCAAGACTCTTCATGAACCAAAAAAATCCAGGCCCTATTCTCTACCCCACCTTGAACAATCTGAGACTTAAATCAGTCAAACATGTTGCTCTCAGTATCACAGTAAGTTACTAGCTGACCCATGAAGAAAATCTTGGATCCTCACTCCTGCATATCATTTTAACAATTCAGTAGCTTTGCTCTTTCATATGGTCAAGAAGCAAGGTTTCACATTGGTTTAAACAGGTACGCTAGACTAGCTTTTTGTTTTCATTAATTCATAATCCTTATTAATACAATAGATGACCCCGAAGTGGAGAGAGAGAAAAATTCTCAGAAATACTGTTAACATCAAATAATTAAAAAGAAGCTACTGAAAAAGAGAGTATTACTTATATTTCTGTGTTGAATAAATTAGCACGTTGTTTTGGATAACAGAGATTTGATGGCAATACCCAATATCCCAGTCAAATTTATCTAGATAAAGAAACAGAAACTTTCATACTGGTGCAAAGAGATAATAACAATAAGAATTTTAAAAATAGCTTTGAGATGACTAAGACATTGTTCCTTTGAATCTAATCAATATTCACAACACTGTTACTTGTTTTTAAAATGAGAAAACCAAGAAAAAAAGAGATGAGGCCAGGCCGGGCGCGGTGGCTCACCCCTGTAATCCCAGCACTTTGGGAGGCTGAGGCGGGCGGATCACGAGGTCAGGAGATCGAAACCATCCTGGCCAACATGGTGAAACCTGTCTCTACTAAAAATACAAAAAAAATTAGCTGGGCGTGCTGGCGGGCGCCTGTAGTCCTAGCTACTTGGGAGGCTGAGGCAGGAGAATGGCGTGAACCCGGGAGGCGGAGCTTGCAGTGAGCCGAGATCACGCCACTGCACTCCAGCCTGGGCAACAGAGTGAGACTCTGTCTCAAAATAAATAAATAAATAAATAAATAAATAAATAAATAAATAAATAAGAGATGAGGCTGGAGATGGGTTAGGTGGAACAGCCTAGTAGAGAGTCATGGTTTAAAACAACAACAGCAGCAAAAGGTAAAATAAAAAAAGCCTGACTTCTACTGATGAGTCCTTTCCAGGAAACCACATGTCCTCTCCAGAGTCAACCAGACTTGCCAAAAGATACCGAAATGAGGGAATACTCATCCCTGAATTGATATAATCATTGCAATTTCTCTTGGTTGTTTATCATTGAATTTCTTCTGGGCTTTAACTGGGAAGACTAAAATAACCATCTTGTATAGCAGGCTTTGGGATCACAGGTAGAAGACATAATAACAATTATACAATGTAGGCGATCTTTTCACTAAATTTTCCTATGATCTCACAACCTTTAAAGAGAAAACTTCTTGTGAAATTTTCCTAAAAGACAGTCTATGCTATCTGTAATACCGGCTGTTTCTAAACATCAACTGCAACCATGATACCCTTTAATAGTTAATCCTCCAACATGTAATTAGGCATTCACATGACAATCAAAACCATGACTATATTTCATGTTTGCCTTCCCTTTCAAGCCCTCTACTAGAGGGGCACTTACTCTGTCAAATCTGCTATAGTAATCAAAACATTGAAATTACTTCTTTCCACACTAAATATACTGGAACTGGTTGTTTGATTAAATGTAGAGCAGAGAGTGCAATTTGCTAAATTACAAGTATTCTGAACATGTAAATATAGTTTAATTACTGCAATTAAAGAAGATTACTGGAGATTGGCAGATGGGAATGTAATGCTGTTTTAATTAGAGTTTTTAATGCACTGTAACATAAGCATAATATTAACCCTTTATCCTAGAAGAGGTAGCTGGTCTTTGTAAAATTAGTATTTAAAAATGTATTAGAGCTAGTGTTTCACAACAAGGCCTAAATTGAGTCACACTACACTGCAAGCCCATTGTGGAAAAGAATCATAGCTTCCAACAACAGTAAACTGAGGCAGAGAGCAAGGCCTCAGGGACTGATCCTCATGGCAATGATAGACAACAGATCTGCTGGTGTCCCAACTGTGAACACACATGTTAACATGCATGAACACACATGTGTGCAGAGAAATACATACCACATGGGCTATTTTTCATAAAAGAAGAATAGTGCCACAGTGCTAAAGACTAATGGGACTTCCCTGCCATGAAAGGTTTCATAAAACCTGTGTTCAGCAAACACATGAAAAAGCAAGTATTTCAAAAATGCCTTTAAAAAATGCATTTATTCACCTTTGAGAAAACTATAGCACAGATGCAGAAGACACTCTACAGGGGGAGGGCAGTTTATTATTATTCACCCTCCAGAACAGTGCACGCTACATAAAGTAATATTCCAGAACGTAAGAAGCAATCTTTGTCATCTTGAAAGCTATCACTTGTAACATTTTGTCCATTTAAGTCAATAGCCTATTAGAAATTCTAATTGAAAGTTCAATAGTCAGCTCGGAGCCTTACAATAGAGGTTGCCTTTTGGAAAGCCATTTAAAGTCTTAATCTCTTTATCATTTGGTATTTTGAAGCCTAACTTTGTTCTTGTTAGGCAGATCAATGGCATTAATTTACAAAATGGGGGAAAATGTCACCCTTCATCCTTTAAGTCTCAGCTCAGTGAAGAGCAGCATAAGCGAATCTGATCACTGCTTTCCCATATTAGCAGCAAACGGTGCCATGGGAGGCTTGACCTACAAATTTTAATTACTGCATGAAAAATTCAGTTCCTGGAGATGAAGGGAGACTTGAGAAAAAGCAGGGGTCCACCCTGTACGTGTCTGCTGAGTTTTAAGTCTTCAAGGATTTTTAAATCGGTAGCCAATACCACAGTCAATGAAAGAGGTTTAGTAAGCTGAAGAACAAACTACAAACTAAAAAACAAAGTAAGACCGAGACAGAAGACACCAAGGCAGGTAAGTAAGCTTCTAAAGGAGAAGTAGTGTTAGAGAATATAATTTTATCTTACTGAGCAACCAGCATCTTGATGAGTCATACACATACTTATCAATTAACAAAAAAGTTATCAGAGGCTAATGCAACTAAGAGTTACAGCCTGAAACCCAAGCGTCCCTGCAAAAGCCAGAGAGGCAGTGTTGGTGCTCGGTGGTTTCACAGCTCTGCCTCTGTTAAAGATATTCTTAGCTAAGTAGGCACAGAGTGAAGAATTATTTTTACCCAAAATTAAAGAATCCTGAATGTGTATACATCATAGCTAATTGATATAATTCAAAAATAGTGCAAAACATAAAGCTAAAAGTAGAAAGCACTAAACTCACTACCACTGCCGTCAGCAAAGTCAAGGTATACAGGCATCAGCTTTTGTATTCCAGAAGCTAAGGGAACACACTAAAAAACAATCACCCTCCATGTGGGCAAATTGAAATAATAGAAAACATAGGCATTTATCAATATAAATTCTGAAATAATCATTTAACACACACTTACATATGTACTTTCAAAAGAGATGAACTACAGAGAGAAATGCTAGCAATGGTTGTCCTGTGGGAACAGAAACATGGGTGGGGTGGAGGGGGTGCAGCTGGGACAAGTTGGTGACTTTTGCTTTTTATAGTTTGGATACATTTTCTTTATTGTTCCATTTTATTTTTATTTTTTTAACAAATAACACGTATGGCTTTCCTAACTGTTAACAAACCAATTATTTTAAAAAGAAGTAAAGTAAAATCTATGTTTGATGTTCCAGCATAAAAGATTGTGAATCATCTTTTTAGAAAGAAAGATCTGTTTGTAACGTGAAAGATCATGATTTGTTTCAAAAATTAAGACTTTATAGTTCTGGATTTTCTTAAAAGTTATGTATTTACTTGAGATGCTTGCTGCAATTAAAGAATTGTGTGAGCTGTCAAGTCTTGGTTAATCACTTTACATATCCATACTCAATTTAACTGTGGAAGCGTTTTCCATAACTACATACAGAGACCTGCACTATGTCATGCACAATTGGCTTCTTCATTAATACTGCTTGATGATGGTGATAAGGAAATAAAGGCCTTGCAACAATGGATGTATGCATTTTCCATGCAGCCATACCTGCTGTTGGAAAAAACTTAGAAGTCAAACATCTTTCTGATGACTAATCATATGCATCTTTTCAGTTTTCATCTCCGTAGATCTCCACGTCCTTCTTATCCAAGAGACGCCTCACTGTCACCTCCTGCCACCAACAGCTGGAATTCTGTGATGAAGTACGCTAATGAAAAAGCCATTAACATTTGTACCAAGTGCTCCTGGTCTCCTCTGCCTATGCACTTAGGTTAATAGTATGCTGGAAGGTCTCTAGAAAGGACAGACTCCTGGTTAAAGAGCTAAATAGTCACATCCCTGATAAGTATGGCCATGGACAAAGATGGGCTGGCCCTTAAGTCAGGGCCCACTACTTCGGGGAGCAGAATCCCATGAAAGGGCTGCCTTTTGAAGGAGAGGACTAATTAGACAAGAGTAGGGAGAGGAAAAGGGGCTGGCCTAAGAATTGGGCAGGAGAGAGTGTGTAGTAAAGCAGATCTTTGAGCACACTTAATGGAATGTAACTTCCAACAGAGCTAAAACCCATCCTCTGTTGAGATTCCAGGAAAAGGCTTGGGGACACACATAATGAAACTTAATGCCACAAAGACAGAAAGGAACACATGCTCAATATAAGAAAGCCTGAGAAACAAAAACTCAGCTTCCCTGACGTGTGGCATTTTCAAAGCCCACACATCATAACAACTTTGAATTCTGAGACGCCTCAACAGGAAACCTCAGAGGTTCCATCTGTCTCCCTGATGAGAAGGACAGCTGAGGTACCAAGCTGCTGTCTAGAAGAGGGCTGGCAAAAATCTCAGGAACCTTGGCCCAGGAGCTAGAAATGTGCAGTTCATTCTTTCCTCCAGTCTAATTTACAGCCCTGACACTAGCTGTTGGCTGGTTAGCAGGTCTATCTCCATACATAACTAGAAATAAACCAACAAAAAAGTTGGCTCACCTCTCAATTTTATGTGTACTCCTAAATTCTAAAAAATCATAAGATTTATCACACAGTACCAAAAAACTCCATTTTTTCTTTGTTTTACATGACACTTTTCTACCAAAATTAAAAAGGAAAGATTGTTAGAGGGACATGAAAGTCAATAGAAGGAAGAGAAGTGAAGACACAGAAGGAGAGAACAATGAGCAAGGCGTACAATTCCTAGTTTGACTGGGCTCAGAAACCATAAGGATCTCCAGAATGGAGACAAGATGAAGGCAATCTGTCAATCAAGTCCTCCCTGATCTACTCAGAATCTGCCCTTGCCTGTACTGCATTCAGTCCTCTGCCCCCAATACTCTACACAGTGATTTAGATTGTGCACTAATCTCTGCAGATACTAGTCATGCACCTACCACTGTAAGTTAGTTACTTACTTCTCCAGAATCGCATTTCTCTGTATCTGTTATCAGTCCTACTCTTTAAGATTTTACTTACCACAGGACCATCTCAAATGATGCAAGAAAGCCTTTGACAAAATTCAACACCCATTCATGCTGGAAATACTCACAAAACTAGAAATAGAAGGGAATTGCCTCAACATGATAAAGAATATTTATGAAAAACCTGCAGCTAACATTGTACTCAGTGGAAAAAGACAAAGCTTTTCTTCCTAAGATCATGAACAAGATGAAGATGCCTGCTTTTATCTATAGCTATTCAACATTGCACTGGAAGTTCTACCCAGGGCAATTAGACAAGAAAAAGAAAGAAATGGCCTCTCTATTTGCAGACATTATTCTATGTACAGAAAATCCAAAGCTAATAAAATTAATTCAGCAAAATTGCAAGATCAACACACAAAAATCAGCTGTATTTCTTTTTTTATTATTATTACACTTTAAATTCTGGGATACATTTGCAGAACCTGCAGGTTTGTTACATAAGTATACACATGCCATGGTAGTTTGCTGCACCCATCAACCCATCATCTACATAAGGTATTTCTGCTAATGCTATCCCTCCCCTAGCCCTCCACCCCCCAACAGGCCCTGGTGTGTGATGTTCCCCTCCCTGTGTCCATGTGTTCTCATTGTTCATCTCCCACTTAGGAGTGAGAACATGCGGTGTTTGGTTTTCTGTTCTTGTGTTAGTTTGCTGAGAATGATGGTTTCCAGCTTCATCCATGTCTCCGTAGAGGACATGAACTCATCCCTTTTTATGGCTGCATAGTATTCTGTGGTATATATATGCCACATTTTCTTTATCCAGTCTAGCATTGATGGGCATTTGGGTTGGTTCCAAGTCTTTGCTATTGTGAACAGTGCTGCAATAAACATATGTGTGCATGTGTCTTTATAGTAGAAGGATTTATAATCCTTTAGGTATATATCCGGTAATAAGATTGCTGGGTCAAATGCTATTTCTGGTTCTAGATCCTTGAGGAATCACCACACTGTCTTCCACAATGGTTGAACTAAGTTACACTCCCACCAACAGTGTAAAAGCATTCCTATTTCTCCACATCCTCTCCAGCATCTGTTGTTTCCTGACTTTTTAATGATTGCCATTCTAAATGGCATGAAATCGTATCTCATTGCAGTTTTGATTTGCATTTCTCTAATGACCAGTGATGATGAGTTTTTTTCATGTTTCTTGGCCGCATAAATGTCTTCTTTTGAGAAGTGTCTGTTCAGATCCTTCGCCCACTTTTTGACGGGGTTGTTTCTTTCTTGTAAATTTGTTTAAGTTCTTTGTAGATTCTGGATAGTAGCTCTTTGTCAGATGGATAGATTGCAAAAATTTTCTCCCATTCTGTAGGTTGCCTGTTCACTCTAATGATAGTTTCTTTTGCTGTGCGGAAGCTCTTTAGTTAATTAGATCCCATTTGTCAATTTTGGCTTTTGTTGCCATTGCTTTTGGTGTTTTAGTCATGAAGTCTTTGCCCATGTCTATGTCCTGAATGGTATTGCTTAGGTTTTCTTCTAGACTTTTTATGGTTCTAGGTCTTATGTTTAAGTCTTTAATCCATCCTGAGTTAATTTTTGTATAAAGTATAAGGAAGGGGTCCAGTTTCAGTTTTCTGCATATGGCTAGCAGGTCTTCCCAACACCATTTATTAAGTAGGGAATCTTTTCTCTCATTGCTTGTTTTTGTCAGGTTTGTCAAAGATCAGATGGTTGTAGTTGTGTGGTGTTATTTCTGAGGCCACCGTTCTGTTCCATTGGTCTATATCTACGTTTTGGTACCAGTACCATGCTGTTGTGGTTACTGTAGCCTTGTAGTATAGTTTGAAGTCAGGTAGCATGACGCCTCCAGCTTTGTTCTTTTTCCTTATGATTGTCTTGGCTATACAGGCTCTTTTTTGGTTCCATATGAAATTTAAAGTAGTTTTTTCTAATTCTGTGAAGAAAGTCAATGGTAGCTTGATAGGGATAACATTGAATCTATAAATTACTTTGGGCAGTATGGCCATTTTCATGATATTGATTCTTCCTATCCATGAGCATGGACTATTTTTCCATCTGTTTGTGTCCTCTCTTATTTCTATGAACAGTGGTTTGTAGTTCTCCTTGAAGAGGTCCTTCACATCCCTTGTAAGCTGTATTCCTAGGTATTTTATTCTCTTTGTAGCAATTGTGAATGGGAGTTCACTCATGATTTGGCTCTCTGTTTGTCTATTATTGGTGTATAGGAATGCTTGTGGTTTTTGCACATTGATTTTGTATCCTGGGATTTTGCTGAAGTTGCTTATCTGCTTAAGGAGATTTTGGGCTGAGACAATGGGGTTTTCTAAATATACAATCATGTCATCTGCAAAAAGAGACAATTTGACTTCCTCTCTTCCTATTTGAATGCCTTTATTTCTTTCTCTTGCCTGACTGCCTAGCCAGAACTTCCAATACTGTGTGGAATAGGAGTGGTGAGAGAGGGCATCCTTATCTTGTGCCAGTTTTCAAAGGGAATGCTTTCAGCTTTTGCCCATTCAGTATGTCTGTGGGTCTGTCATAAATAGCTTTTATTATTTCAATATACGTTAAATCAATACCTAGTTTATTGAGAGTTTTCAGCATGAAGGGGTGTCGAATTTTATCGAAGGCCTTTTCTGCATCTATTGAGATAATCATGTGGTTTTTGTCATTTGTTCTGTTTATATGATCGATTATGTTTATTGATTTGCATATGTTGAACCAGCCTTGCATCCCAGGGATGAAGCCGACTTGATTATGGTGGATAAGCTTTTTATGTGCTGCTGGATTTGGTTTGCCAGTATAGATCAGAACAGAACTGAAGGAGATAGAGACATGAAAAACCCTTCAAAAAAAAAAAAAATCAATGAGTCCAGGAGCTAGTTTTTTTGAAAAGATTAACAAAAATAGATAGACCACTAGCCAGACTAATAAATAAGAAAAGAGAGAAGAATTAAATGGACACAATAAAAAATGATAAAGGGGATATCACCACTGAACCCACAGTAATAAAAACTACCATCAGAGAATGCTATAAATACCTCTATGCAAATAAACTAGAAAATCTAGAAGAAATGGATAAATTCTGGACACATACACCCTCCTAAGACTAAACCAGGAAGAAGTCAAATTCCTGAATAGACCAATAACAAATTCTGAAATTGAAGCAGCAATTAATAGCCTAACAACCAAAAAAAGCCCAGGACCAGACGGATTCACAGCTGAATTCTACCAGAGGTACAAAGAGGAGCTGGTACCATCTCTTCTGAAACTATTACAAACAATAGAAAAAAAGGGACTCCTCCCTAACTCATTTTATAAGGCCAGCATCATCCTGATACCAAAACCTGGCAGAGACACAACAAAAAAAGAAAATTTCAGGCCAATATCTGCGATGAACATTGATGCAAAAATTCTCAACCAGCTGTTTTTCTACACATCAGCAATGAACAATCTAAAAAGGAAATTAAGAAAATAATACAATTACACTAGTATCCAAAAAGAATGAAATATCTAGGAAACAATTTCACCAAAAAGGTGAAAGACTTATATGCTGAAAATTATAAAATAAACATTACTAAAAGAAATTTTAAAAGACTTGAATAAATAGACGGACACCCTGTGTTCATGGGTTGGGAGACAGTATTGTTAAGATGTCAGTACTACCCAAGGTAATGTACAGATCCAATGCAATCTCTATCAAAATTCTAGTGATCTTTTTGCAGAAATGCAAAAGCTGATCCACAGATTTGTATGGAATTGCAATGGACCCTCAATCGCCAAAATAGTCTTGTAAAAGGAGAAAAAAGTTGGAAGACTTATACTTCCTGATTTCAAAACTTAATTACAAACCTATAGTAATCAAACCAGTGTACTACTGGCATAAGGATAGACACGCAGACCAATGAAATAGAATTGAGAGTTGAGAAATAAACCCATATGCCTATGGCCAACTTATTTTCAACAAGATGCCTAAGCTATTTAACAGGAAAAGAATAATCTTTTCAACAGATGATGCTGAGACAACTGGATATCCACATACAAAACAATGAAATTGGACCCCTACCTCATACCATGTACAAAAATTAATTCAACGTGGATCAACAGCCTAAATATAAAAACTAAAGCCATAAAACTCTTAGAAGAAAGTAAAGTGGTAAATCTTCATGATCTTGGATTTGGCCATAAATTCCTAGATGTGATATCAAATGCATTAACAACAAAAGAAAAAACAGATAAACTGGACTTTGCTATGTTCTCAATATGTTTCTCAAAATTCATGTTGAAATTTAATCTCCAATGCAATAGTTTTAAAGGTGAGGCCTTCAGGAGGAGGCTGGGTCATGAGGGCTCCTTCCTCTTGAATGGGACTAAGGCCTTTATACAAGAGGCTTCACACAGAGTTTGGCATTTTTGCTTTTCCACCACTTGGACACAGCAACAAGGTGTAATCTTGAAACAGAGCGAGCACCCCACACCCAACAGCAAATCTACTGGCATCTTGGTCTTGGATTTCCCAGCCTCCATAACTGTAAGAAATAAATTTCCTTTGTTTATAAATTCTCTAGTGTCAAGTAGTTTGTTACAACAGAATAAACAGGCTAAGACTTCATCAAATTAAAAACCTTGTGCATCAAAAGGCATTTATTATCAAGAAAGTGAAAAGACAACCTAGAGAGTGAAAATATTTGCAAATCATATGTATCTAGTATCCAGAATACATAAAGAATGCTTACAATTCAATGACAAAAAGACAAATAACCAAATTGAAAAATGAGCAAAAAACCTGAGTAGACATTTCTCTAAAAAAAAATATAAAAATGGCCAAAAAACATGAAAAGATGCTCAACATCATTGGTCAAGAAAATGCATATCAAATTTACAATGAGGTACCACTTCATACCCATAAGAGTGGCTATTTTAAGAAAAAGGAAAATATCAAGTGTTGGAAGTGATGTGGAGTCACTGGAACCCTCATATATTGCTGGTAGGAACTTGAAATGGTTCAGCCATTCTAGAAAATAGTTCGGCAATCTTCAAAAAGTTTAATGTAGAAGTATCATATCGTCCTGCAATGCCACTCCTAGGTATATATGCAGAAGAACCAAAACGAGGTACATAAACAAGTATATGTGACACATGTTCATGGCAGTACTGTTCACAATAGCCAAAAGGTATAAACAGCCCAAACATCCATCAGTGCATGTACAGATAAACAAATCATGTTATATACAAATACTGGAGTATTATTCAGCTATAAAAAGGAGTGGAGTAATTATACACACATACATGGCTGAACCTCCAAAACATTATGCTAAGTGAAAGAAGCCAGACAAAAAAGGTCACAGAGTGTATGATTCCAAAATAGATAAATCTGAAGAGGCAGAACACAGATCAGAGGTTTACTGGGGACTAAGGGCAATGGGGAGGAAGGGATAGGTACAGACTACTTAATGGGTAAGGGGTTTTACTCTGGAGTGATGAAAATATTTGGGAACAAGATAGAAGCAGTGGTTGTAAAACACTGTGGATATACTAAATCCTACTGAACTGTTCACTTTAAAATTGTTAATTTTATATTACGTGAATTTCATCTCAAACGATTTTTTTAAAAGAAATAACTTCTTTTCCATTCTCTTAAATCTTGCATCATAAACTGTTGGCTTAAAATCATTCTTTACTGCTGAATGTGGTTAATTTTACTTATTGCTTATTTGCTCTCTTGCACAGAAACTTCTTGAGAGTAAGGTCTACAACTTCCAAGCATCTAGCCCACCAGCTTAACCCAACAGGAACAAAAAGTTATTCAAGTGATTCTTACATAAACTTGCAGTGTGATCTTAAAAAACAACTCACTCTGCTGGGCATGGCGGCTTACACCTGCACTCTCAGCATTTTGGGAGACAAAGGTGGGAAGATCATTTGAGGTCAGGGGTTCAAGACCAGCCTAGGCAACAAAGCAAGACCTTGTCTCTATTAAAAAAAAAATAATAAACCAGGTGTGGTGTTGCATATCTGTAGTCCCAGCTGCTAGGGAGGCTGAGGTGGGAAGACTGCTTGAGCCTGGGAGTTCAAGGCTACAGTGAGCTATGATCATTCCACCATACTCCAGCCTGGGAGACAAACCTAGACTCAGTCTCAAAACAAACAAGCAAAACCACACACAAATCAAACACCCCTGTATTTTAGTTTCCCAAGCTGAAAGGCATTTGGTTCTCTGGAGTAGAGAGTATATGCCTATTTTATTAAATCTAATATATTAGAAGGTAGAAGGGGTCCTGCTGTCTAATTTGTCAGATAAGAATCCTAAAGTAGAGCTTCTCTCCATCATTGTGGTATTGAGGCAAAAACAAGGCAGTGCTGAATTCAGTGGTTGGGACCAGGAGTTCCATGGATCCAACTGGGGGATAAGGGAGCTCTTTTCAATATTCAGAAAGGCCTAACCACACATGCCTCTACCAAGGCTACAGGAGATACCTAAGTACCAAGAATTTTTGCTTCAAGCTGGAAAGATGTCCCATGTTGATGACTATCTAGATCTCAGTAGAAATACAAAGAAAATGATAAATTTTATGATAAATGTGGTTCAGTTGACAACATATTACAAAAACAGGGAGTCTAAGGAGGGGATGAGGAATAGAAAGTTTTTGCAGGAAGATGGCTTAGACTAACCACACCTGTATTGCATTTTGAGGGATGATTACGCCCAGAACATCCAAATCCATGGATTACAGGATGCTGCTGTACTAGCTGTGCATCTTATTAAGAAAGAAAAATGTCAAATAAAGAATCAGAGGTTGCAAAAATTCTGAAAAGATGTTACAAGTTACCTTCTGCCATAGCCTAAATACCTAGAGCCCCTTCCATGTCTGGAGTACTATTCTCAAGGCAAATTTCTTTGGAAGAATAGATCTGTACAATGTCATATCTGAAGAACATTCCTCATTTCTTTTTCCATTCTATCCAGCTCCCACAAAACTCATGCAAAGGCTGATAAATAGGCATTTTGAGAAGACCTGCTCCTGGGGTTACTCTAGAAGCTACTGCCCTTTAGACAAATTCAGCAAAATAGTGCTTTCTGAAGGTGGGAAGACACGGAACTGGAAACATAAAGACCTCCATTTAAAAATCCATGGATGCCCTCATTATGTAAGAACTGAGCGGCCGGGCGCGGTGGCTTACACCTGTAATCCCAGCACTTTGGGATGCCAAGGCGGGCAGATCACCTGAGGTCAGGAGTTTGAGACCAGCCTGGCAAACATGGCAAAATGCTGTCTCTACTAAAAATATAAAAATTAGCCAGGCGCAGTGGCAGGCACCTGTAATCCCAGCTACCTGGGAGGCTGAGGCAGGAGAATCACTTGAACCCAGAAGGTGGAGGTTGCAGTGAGCCAAGATCATGCCACTGCTCTCCAGCCTGGGCGACAGAGCGAAATTCCGTCACAAAAAAAAAAAAAAAAAAGAACCAAGCATACCTTTCATGCCAAGTGCCACCTGTGATTATGTTTTTACAGTTATTACCAAGAACTGTGATACTGAGATCGTTTAAAAGCCTCAACAAGCATGCCAATGTGACTTGAGGATTCAATGTCTCCTCATTGTTGCCACACTCATAGGCACACTTGTTTACCTTATGTCAAGGGAAATAAATGTCCAACCTTACTCAAAGAAACTACTTAGAGTAAAATAGACTTGATCTCTTAGAAGTGACCATGGATCCCAGGTTCAAGTAAATTAGAAAGACGATCCATAAAGCACACAGTGCCTGGGCCTCTACTGTCTTCTAGCCAATAAGGTAAACCAAACCTAGAGCCATGACCAACCTTAGCCCAAGTCAGCTGGGCTCCAGGTGTACGTCCATTTCCTTTGTGTAACTGTGAGTCAGAGGTCACTGGGAAATTAGGTAAGAAGGACTATTAAGCCATGTTGAAGGAGAGATTCCTAGGAGTTTTCATGCGGTGCTGTGTGCATGTGCAAGTGTGGAAAGGTAAACGCATGGAGTAAGGAAAACCCCAAAACTGGTGGGACAGAGATTAGGTGGCTGAGGCAAGTGAAGAAAGGCTGCCTTGGGAGAAGTGGAGAGGGCCAATCAGGCCCCTAGGAGACAGGCTGGAAGTGGGTAAAAAGCCTAGAAAAGGCCTATGGGAGAGGATAGAAACATCAGTTCCCCTTGGGTATGGGTGGACAGACAATCAGGAAAGCCTTGGAAGAGCATATCAGCAGCCCCTGGGGAGTCTCCTGGAAAGGCCCCTTTCAGGGACAAAAAAAAAAGTTCATCCTGGGACTGTGATTGCCTCTCTAGGCTCAACCTGCTGTGCTGACCTGGAGGCTGGTCCCCATCAGCAGGGCAAAAAGCAGGCAGAGAAACTGAAGACTCAGTGACTAAATGAATCAAACACAAAACATGTGCAAAATGAACAGTTTGATTGCTGAGTCACCAAGGGAGGGGCTTCAGAGCTGAGGCCCATGGTGTTGTTAGATGCAGACAGATGGCTTGTGCTGGCAGGGCTCAGAGGTGGGATAGTTTCTTCCACCGGACTGGATTCATCCCCACAGCAGCTTGATAAGGCTTGCCCTCTTTTCCTGCCTCCTTTCTCAGGTGGATCTGATGGCTCTGAACTTGTCCACATGCAATATGCAAGGTCAGATAGCAATTCCCTTGCAGAAAGGGTGACTAACATCCAGGACTATGATTTCTAAGTCTAATTTTTGAGAATCTGATCGGGGGTGGGGTTGGAGTGACCAGGTTCTACTTGTTTAAACTCAATCACCCTAAAATATCTTTTTATTCTACCTTCTGAATATATTCTCCATAAGAAGACAAGGTTCAGCTTCACTTTTTGTCATTTCATTTAGGTATATACTAGCCATTGTGACGCCCATATCTAGGACACACTGGACAGGAGTGAAGAAGAGGGAGGCATAATATATGCCCATCACTCTTCGTACGAATTCCTATTGTTTAGGAGAGTGGGTTTCAAATTTTGTACTTCTTTACATAAGAAAAATATTTTAAGTAATTTCTTTTTTTCAGTTTTATTTTTATATTTGTTTGAGAGACAGGGGCTTGCTCTGTCACTCCGGCTGGAGTGAAGTGGTACCATCACAGCTCCCTGCAGCCTCAAACTCCTGTTCTCAAGCGATGCTCCCGCCTCAGTCTCTCAAAGAGCTGGGATTACAGGTGTGAGCCACAATGCCTGTAATGATTTCTTAAGCTTCTCTGGGTGACTAGCTGTGAGGACAAGAAACCTCACTCCTTCCAGCCTCCCACTTCTCTCCTTTCATCCCCAAAAGTCCCTTAGCACTGGAATAAGGGCAAAATGCAGTAATGAGAGAAGGGACAATTGGACCCTGGCTCATCTCTCCTGAGTTGTGTGGGTTTTCACTGGGCCTCACTTTCCTCTTCAGGAAAATGAGAGGGTAAGCCAGAGTGGGCTTTTGGGTCTTTTTGACTCTAAAATTCTCAACTTCCCCATAAGCAAAGACAGAGAACGACTGTAAGTCTTTACTCATAAAACATGAAGAAAACTAAGAAAAAATATACACATAGCAACTGCAATAAGTCCCGCCACATGGCAAGGTGCCATTCCCAAACTTTTCCTCAATAACATCTTCTCACATCATCTCTAGTGCTCTTCCTAGGAAAGTTTCAGTGTCGAGTATGACTTACTTTCTTAGACCACACCAAACCTGTCAATTTCATAGACAATATATACAGGATCAGGGAGGCCAACCCTGTAATTATTATTTTTTTTGAGACAGGGTCTTGCTCTGTTGCCCAGGCTGGAGTGCAGTGGTATGGTCACAGTTTACTGTAGCCTTGAACCGCTAGGCTCAAGCAATCCTCCCACCTCAGCCTCCCGAGTGGTTGGGACCACAGATGCACACCATCACCCCACCCAGTCAATTTTAAAATTTTTTGTAGAGATAGGGTCTTGCTATGTTGCCCAGGCTGGTCTTGAACTCCTGGGCTCAAGCAATCCTTCTGCCTTGGCAATTTTTTTTCAATGAATACAAAAATATTTGCAGTGATAGCTTCATCAGATAGTTGTTCTCATATACTAATTTGGCCAGAATATTTTTATACTAGTGATTGACAACATTCATAAGACCCAAGACCCTCATCTGCTGAGAGCCAACACAACTGTTTCTACCACTTGATTCCATTTAGAAGCCAAATCCTTTTACATCATTTTCCAAAATGTACGGCCTAGTTTTCATGTTCACATCTGCTATCATCATCACTTTCAGACAGGTCTTAGCTGATGACGCCAAGGTTCTCCCCTTGGTTCCCAACCAAATCTGAGTGTCAACAAATAGCTCCTCTTTTGTCCAAGGCGGGAGGAGGAGGCCTGCCTTTACGCCTGTCCTCCCACTGCATGCAACATAACTGTGCCATTTCTTCACCTTGTAGAACATTTCCTCCTTGCATTTTCAGCTAGAAATGGTGGCAGAGTAATAGACTCTGTGTTCATTTTATTGAATCACCTATATTTAATGGGGAAAATGGGTTGTTGTAACTCTGTCAATAGGACATGTTCAATTACACTGTGTAGCCATTTTTCTTCAGAAGGCATTACCATCTGGGCTAAGCAGTTAAATAAGCACAGCTACATGATATTATAGCTAATGAAATTAAATGTGGTACAAATATATACATGGCACACAGAATTCACATTTATCTCTTTGAAAGGATTTTCCTTGTTGAAAAATAAGATATGTGAGTTGCGAGATCAGGATTGTGGCATGGTTGGCTGGCTTTATGGCTTTCCAAACAACAGAAGTGATTATTCAGTTCACATCTAGGTCAAACAGAAGAATTTCCTCTTTAGAAAATCATAACCCATTTTACCCTCTAAGAGGTCTGCTTCCTCAGTTTGCCCTGGAACTACCCAAAGCTCTTGGCTACAGTGGCTGACCCTGACTCTACATCTATCTTTACCCTTATCTCCAAACCCTTTAAACCTTCCAATACCACTTCATGAGGGTGACAAGGCGTACACTGGGCCACAAACATAAAGATCCTGGCACAGAACAGACACCCAATAGATATTATTTCTTTCTACCATCCGTCTCCTTTCCACTTACTTTGCTTGTCTCAGCCTCTGAGTTGGGTTGTGGACTGGCCTCACCTGCAAACTTAGGTCTGCCTGTTTTGAGCGAATGCTAACTGTAGAAACCAAGCAATTTCAGCTCCACCCTCACATATGTACAGACATCTGTTGTTTTTGTCACCTCCTCCTCTCAATCTTCTTAGTAAAATAGTATCCTAACTTTCCTTTGGGAAATATCCCTGCTGTACTTTCAATTTCTGTGGGATAAACTCCAGCTCCAGTTTCAGAACCCACTCTAATTGGTTTAAGCCAGGAAAGGGAGAGGGACATGTTGCTGGGAGGCCCCCATCTGGGGCCTGAGCTTGGAATCAAATCAGAGGAAGGCAACACATGTAAAGTGCTGAGAGTGGAAGGATGAAGAGAGCTAGGGCTTTGTGCCATCACTTGTGCTCTGGACATAAGTGGAGCTGGGATTCAGCATTACCTGCCCCTGTACTATCTCCCACGAATGAATTGGTATCCGTACAGGGCATTCCTGGTACCAGCATCTGCCTGAGCTTGCAGGCAAGCTCTGGAACTTTGAGCCACTGTGTTGGACTGCCTCTCTCAACAAAATGGGCCTATTTCTTTGGTTTGGTCCTCTTAATTAAAAAACAAACAAACAAAAAACTATGACACACTTTCACTTGCTCGATTCTCATTTTAAATACTCACCAGCAGAGAGGCCATAAAATTGAAACAACAACACATTTGACTTCTAGTAGGCATTCAGTTAGTATCACCAAAGCCATCTTTCTTATCACCACCAGGCATGAGGCTAACAGGTAAGTGATCACCTTTTCCTGGGGCTCCACATAAAAAAAGCTGGGAGTTTGGCATGTAGGAGCTACAGGATGTGTGGTATAACATCCAAGGGCTTTGCAGAAAGATTTTAAACCATAGCATAAAGGCCCTTTTTGACAGTAAAGAATAGCCTTGTTCTTCCACTTCATCCACAGAATCACCATTCCCATTTTTGGACAATGTAGCAGTTGACCAATTCAAAATACAGTTCATTTTATAAAGAATTTCCTAAGCTTCACCCACATAAATATACTATAATGTATTTTAATTTATAAAAATTATGCCTATAAAGAATTTTATTTTTTCCCTTTAAAAAAAGTCACAAATGCAAGCAGAGTTTATACAAATAAAGGGCAGTTTTGCTGGTCTTCCAAGTCTTCCTGTAAAGCCAAACTGTTAAAACCAGACAATCATATTAGATCTAAAGAGGAATTCTGTCTCTAAGTAACCTTTTGAATTTAGTACAGTTGTTAAATGTCCCTTCTAACTTGGGGATTAAAATGCTAAATACAAAATAATTCAATTTTTTCTCACTTGGACTGACCAAGTAAGTTTTTCAGGCTTCTTGGGAAAATATTATTTTCATAAAGAGTATATGAAACAGATAACTTCATTATCAACATGCTTCATAAACTATAGGGTACTATTCTCGGGGCGGGAGGGACATATAATAATAAATTCACCTGACCATAATCTCTTTTTGTGACATGACTGTATGTTTAATGAATATGTGTCAGGAAACCAGTGTTTCACTTTAGACATGTCCCAACTATCTGCATATTTATCTGGTCAACTACATTTTTCCCCCATCTATAAATTTTCTAACTTAGAAGTGCATGACTTAGTCACTGTGGTTAGAAATGCTGTTTTTTTGTGGGAGGGAGGAGAGGGGAGTAGAGAGTATCTGGGAGTACACCCAAAGGTGCTCCAAACTACCAATTTAGTGAGTTGTAACCAGAATTTTTTACAATAATGAAATCGCTTTAAAAAGATCAGAGTGCATATGCTTCCTTACTTTCTGTTCACAATTATTTAAAACAACACTGCCAACATTTATAATGATATTTAAAGGAGGCCAACAAGATTCTGCAAAACAGAGAAAAGAAATGTTCAGGGAAAAAGAGACCTAACGCAAAGCTATTCTAATATGAAAATATGCTGAATTTTGGCATTGGGATGTTTCGAAGGACATTCTATATTAAGGAAAGCACCATTGCTTAGAGGTTAAGAGTAAACGTGTTACAGTCAAACAAGCATGGACATGTATGTCTGTTGCATCATCTCTACCTTTTACTAGCTGGGTGACCTCTTCACTCCTCAGATTTCCAACCTTTCAAATGGGAATAATACTACCTATCTCACAAAATTGGGAAGATTAAACATGATAACATGGGTGAAGCACTTAGACTGGTGCTTGGTAAGCAGTCATTCATTTGGTAAATGTCGTCATGTTGTTAAGATACGCCAGCAAGGATACAAATCAAAGCAGCTATTGTAAGGTGTTTACTGCCTGTGGTCACTCAGCTGGTGTCACTGTTGATTTCTGGGGTCCTTGTCATCCTATCCCTGGGGAGAGATGAGATGGACAGACAAGAGCCTGGTCCAACTGCACTGACTCCTCCTCCTTTCCCCATCCTACTGGAACCATCAACGCACAGCCTCTCCCTGCTCCTGAAATGAGACTTCAAAACTGCCCTTCCACCTCTAAAACTAGCATCCCAGGGGAACCTGGAGCCTACCTAGTGCCAGCCTTGGTCAACATCCACCATTTCTTCTTCCCCTTTTCTTCCAAGGCACACTTACCTCTGCCTTGCCTATCCCTGCTCAGTTTCATTAGTTGTTTCATGTTGGACTAGAGTACTTACTCCTTGAAAACAAGGACTGGGTCCTAATTGTCTTCCCCAGTGATGTAGTACACACAGTAGGAGTTAAGTAAATGTTTGCTAAATGGATAAAATAAGTAAGTGTTCTGAATCTCACTTCAAATGAGCTGCCTGCTTAGTGATCTCCATAAATGCCATGATCCAAAATAAAGACAGATTTAATACATGCTGGTAAGTCTGGCTTCTGTGTATGTACAAAGATTGTGAATTTTACTTTTGTAGAATCTTCTATCCCAAATGTGAAGGTGGCTTGCGTAGTCATACCCAGGTTTTATAAGTGACATGTATCCCTTCTCAACACAAAGGTAAGAGTACAAAGATGATACTGGGGTGGCATGAAGAATGCTCTTTTCAGTACCAGTAGCTTCCTGAAGATGATACTGTAATAACCTCTGTGCCTTAAAGTTTAAACTCAAGTTCACTGAAACAAAAGTACCAATAGGACAGGGTTTCTAACTAACTGCATATATTATAGTTCTTAAGGACAATAAAAAGAAAAAGTCTGCATCCCAAACTTGTCTCATGCCTCCAGTTCACCTAAAGCAATGTAGAGGTTGAATAATTAATAAATGATTAAAGTGCTCAGGGACAGTGGTATAAAATGCATAGCTAAGTAAGTCTTAATGAGCAAGTTTAGGACAATTTGATCTATGAACGAGAGATAATTTTGTTTTGTTCATTCACTCATTCATTCATTCATTTACGTATTCTTTTGTCTGGCTTCTCCAGTAAAATGTAAGCTTCATAAGGGTAATTTTCAAAGGCCAGCTACTCCGACTAGATGGAAGAATGTGATGAAGTCACTACCATGTAATTTATCAAGGTTGTTTGTGTTAGTGTCTTCCAGAACCTCATCCCAAACCTATTCATTCAAAGGACATTTGCTCCTAAGGTGTTGGATGTTCTGAGCCCTGAGGAAACCAAGAGGAATCAATAAAGACTGAGAAAATACACCCTTTGAGGTTGGCTGAGACCCTAATTTGTTTCGACTAAAACCCCCACAACACTAAACACACAGGAGAGACTTAGCAAACACTTTTTAACATACACAGGTTTTCCTGACTGCCATTACTGCTCCCTGTCTCACTACAGTAATCCTACCTCATGATATACTCCAAAGTATTTATTTTTAAAAATCTCACCAATTTCGCTGGGTTGAGAAACTCCTAAGGAAAGAAGGAGGGTCAGGTGCTATGAACATTTCTGTTCTGCACCCTCACCTGTCTCCTTTCATTAAAATAGACCTGCAGATCTGAAATGGGATCATTATCTTCAGTGGATACATTTGGCAGCATCCCCCAACTCGCAAATCCCTCAGCTTATTTAAATAACACAGAGCCTGAAGATTAAAGCTATCTTCTGTTTGGGAGACAGCAGCAGGGAGATGACTCAGGCCTCAATATTCCTTTCAGTAGTAACTTGATGCATCATTTTTTTTGCACTTTATTATATCCCACCATATTTTATTTATTTAAATGTCAGAATCTTTTGCTGACATGGCAAGGCAGAAGCAGAGATGTTTTGTAAAACTTAAATGAACTGGTAAGTGGATGCTTGTTCTATAAATCTTTAAAATGTTAGGTTATTCCTTAGAAACCACTTTTACAAGACCCTTCCATCTTGCTTGAAAAGAGACAGCACATAAAATACTCACTTTCTGTCTCAGCAGCACCAAAGTGACATCAATGGGCACGGTGCCTTTTCATGGAGAATAAATACAAAGTTCAAATCAAACACTAGGTACCTAATGCAGCAGTTCTGCTGAGAGGTTGATGGTAGTAAAATGTTGTAATGAGAAGTGGGGGCTGCACCTCAGTTCTCTAAACACTTCCTGGCAGAGCTATACAGTGCCTTCTGAAATTCTTGGAACCCTCCTCTGCCTCCTCTACAGCAAACAGCCCTTGGGCCTCTAGAAGCCCTCTTCCTTGATTCATGTGGTCTCAACACCCACACTGCTAGACAGAACTCATGGTCCCAATGCTTAAAGAATTAACAGCATGGGGCAGAAGGTGGTGGTAGGATGTCTGAAAGACTTACCCAATCTATTCAATCAACCTGATATGACAGCTTAACATGCCTTTCCTTCTGAGCCTCAAGCTCATCGTTTTAAAACTGTTAGGTTTGTAGGTTCTTAAGGTTATCGGTGGGCCGCTATACTGTGAAACTTTCCTAACAATGCTTCATTCTCTTTCCCTGGATCCTCTTGTCTAGTCGGTAGGTCCTGTTAACTCTCCCTGGACTTTCCTCCCCATGCTCATCTCCTCCTCCTCTAGCCCACGTCCTTGCTCCTCACACTGGCCTCTACAGTGTCGTCCTAACTGGCCTCCAGTCCCCATCCATTTCTGTCCTACACTCTACCTATGAATTAGGCATTTTCTTATGGCATCCCCCTCAACCTCGCCAACCCTTCTCCTACAATATTATACCCTGAATGAGTTCATCTGACGATTCTGTCATGAAAATCTCTACGTGACATGCATAATAGATTTATAAATCATAAAGGAGCCTGGGATCCCCACATAATCCTTGAAAAAGCTTTAAAAACGCCGCAGTGAATAAGAGCCATGATCCAACCGACACCACAGGTTTTTTTCGCTGGTGTTTCTAAAGGTAGCAAGTCATGACCATTACATTTTAGAAGTCTCAGATTCCCCTTTCTTGTTAATTGATTATGGTTCAACCTTGATGATTCACAAGCTCTAATAACCTTTCAAAACCTACATTGATACAATCCAAAAAGATTGTACTAAGCATCTCCTACATGCCTGACACTACTTAGCAACGGAGACACGTCCGCAAATGAGACAGACAGATTTCTCCTCTAACCAGCATGCAATAATGACCTTGAAGGCAGGGCCATGCCTTCGGTACCTTTAAGTCAGGCAATGTGCCAGCCTGAGGGAGCTTTTTGTAAGCCCTAGTGCTCCATGCTTGTGCCCACTCATGCTTGTCAGGGTTGGAAAGCAGTTGATAAACACTGCTGGTACTAGAACCCCTGCCTGAGTTTGAGTCCTGGGTCTCTCACTTACTAAATGTGTGACCTCAGGCAAACTACTTAACTTCCCTCTGCTTTAGTTTCATCAAATGTCAACAGGAAAACCAGGAAAAATGAATTCTTCTGAAGATTAAACAAGTTAATACATGAAGTGTTTAAAATGGGAGCCAACATGGAATGCTCAAAGTATTAGTCATTATTTTCTACACAATATTCCTGTAATATTGTTGGACGAAAATGTCTCTGCTCTATTTGAACAAACATCTTTCCATGGCAAATGACAAATTCATTAAGATTCACAATCTGCATCAAAAGGTTACAAAACCCCGCCCTGCAGTGACAAGGAACACACACACAAAATATACAAATGCTCCAGCAGACAAAATATACACAGGAAAAAGTATCCATTTGTACAAAACATTTTTTTCAAGAAGGTTAAAAAAAAGAGAAAAAGATAAACAAGGATCAAAGCCATGCCCAGCAGCAACTGTTTCCAGTGTGACCTGGTGAGTTTTCACCTTCAAACAGGTCAGATCAAGTGTTCCCCAGTGGTGTTACCTGGGGATCTGTCACTCACACATCAAACTCCCTTCCGCCGGCCTCTTCTCCCAGAGACATGCTGCCAGATGCAGAAACATCAATGTTTTCTTGCCTGCGGTACGGAGGGTTGGGGTTGCAGGAGAGGATGTGAGACATAGGGGGAAGAAAACAAAACAAAAACCAAACCCAGGGAAACGAGCAAGTGTGCCTTCTTGTGTCTACAAGAGACCTGCATTACGAAGTATCACATGATTTTTCCTGGGACCCAATTTTGGTCTTGCACTATATTTCCTGAAGAATCTGTTTCAAATTCACCAACGATTGTCTCCTTAGGATCAAAACACCTATATCAAGAATGGAGATCCAGGCTGGGTGTGGTGGCTCACACCTGTAATCCAAGCACTTTGGGAGGCCAAGGTGGGTGGATCACTTGAGGCCAGGAGTTCGAGACCAGCCTGGCCAACACAGCAAAACTCAGCTCTACTAAAAATACAAAAAATTTAACCAGATGTGGTGGCGGGTAATCCCAGCTGCTCGGGTGGCTGAGGCAGGAGAGTCGCTTGAATCTGGAAGGTGGGTGTTGCAGTGAGCTGAGATCATGCCATTGCACTCCAGCCTGGGCAACAGAGTGACTCTGTCTCAAAAAAAAAAAAAAAAAAAAAAAATAGAGACCTGGCTCCATCAGCAATGGCTGGAAGGAGAGGTATACAGAGAGCCAGAGAGTGACTTCACACCCACTGGGTGGGAGCAGAAGACAGCCCATTGATGCCAGCTGAGATTTTCCACTTGTTTGTCCAATCCATTACCCTCTTGTCATAGGCTCAGGTGAGAAATGAAGATCAAGTTATAAATCTCTTTTTTCTACAACTAATTCTGTAGTATTTATCAATGGAAAGCTAACTTTTGGTTAATCAACCACTTATCCCCACTTCTTATTACATTATGACTTACTACACTTCCTATTTTGCTTTATTTTATACTGCATTAATTCAGCATTTAATGAGTTCTAACTCTATGCAGGGCATCAACCATTTTTGCCTTTCTACCCCTGAGCTACAGATTGGCTATGAAACCTTCAGCCAAAAGTTAATAAGGGATTGGAAAGTACAAAGGAGAACAACTTGAGAAGGCAACTAAATAATATATGTACAATTTCAGGGAGAATGCTTACAATAGAATAGAGATGGGGAACGACTTGGGATGCCAGAACAATAATCTAAGCTGGAGGTAGGAGAAGCCTTAGCCAAGATGGTGGTATTAAGAATCAAAGAAAGGTCTAGACTCAAGAATCCAGGGGCTAGGATAGACATGGATTGTCGACCGGATATGAGGGTAAGAGAGAGGGAGGAGGTCAAATGGACATCTGTGCTTCCTACTTGAGAGAGACTATCAAGCCAAGTTGGGGAAGGAGAAATTTACTTTGGGAAAAAGGGATAGTTATTTCTATTTGAGAAAGGTGTCTGGCAGGTGGTTGACAATGTGGCTTTTGGGTTCCCGAAGGAGGCCAGGAACAGAAAGAATAACAATGGCAGGTAAGAGCATGAACAGTGGGAAGAGGGGAAAGACAGGCCAGGGGCAGTGACCTAAGGCACTCTGCTAAGCACATGGCATGTATTTGCTAATTTCATCCTCACAACCATCTGAAGTCAGTATGAGAAAACATACTCAGAAAAACTAATTTACTCAAGTTTCCATAGCCATATAAGTAGTGGAGCAAGGATTTGAATTCAGGCCTACCTGTTCCTCATATCCATGCTGTTAAGTAACATTCTCTATAAACTTTGGGATACTGACGAATATTTAAGGAGAAAGAGAAGAGAGCCTGACAAAGATACAGAAAAGGATGGGAACAAGGAGTGGCAAAGTCAGGCAGTCCATGGGATGAGAGAGATCCAAAGTGGAACAGCTTGTCAACTAGGCAGAATGCGGTCACTGGTGGGCATTAAGAAGCTATTTTATTAGAAAGTCATTGGTGGGTATTAAGAAACTATTTTATTAGCACAATAGGATACAGTAACTATTCATCCACGGGTTATGAAGGGTGACAGCAAGCATAAAAGTTCTTTGACCTTGAGGGATGGAGACACACAAGATGGAGGTGGTTTCTCCTTTAGATTTTTAAAGATTGGAGGAAACTCGCTAGAGTTCATGAGCTGAGAGGGAAGTGGTGAAAAAGACAGCAGGTACAAGGCAAAGGGAAAGGAATGACTGATGTGACAAAACCATGGAGGAGACTGTAAGCGTTGGTTGAAGAACATGGCTTTGACCTTGGGAATGAAGAACATGTTTTTCTCCAGAGGGAGTGACATAAACATGAATAACAATGTTTTCATGTTAAATGGCGGAGATGGAAGTTGAGGGTGATTTTACTAGATACCCTTGATATTCTTGGTAGAGCTATCTACACATAATAAAGTGTGATACGAAAGTCTGGACTAGAGGGTTTAAGATGAGAGGAAAAAAATCTAAAGCAACAAATTTGAGGACTGTCAAAATGAGCAAACACTTGGCACCAGGGCCCAGCCAGAGGTAGAAATTTGTATCAGATGCAACTGGTGTAGAAAGCTGATTTCTCTAGCAATTTAACCTATGCACACATCAATCTGGGCTGACAGAAAAGCACATGCAAGAATGTCTACGTGTGCACACATGTCACAGACGAAGACAGCCATCTGTGTAACAGGGCTGCATTATAATTCCACCCAGCCTTACATCCAGGTGGATATTACTCCTCTCCAGAGAAGAGATTATAGAGGGACTAAATGCCAATTTGTAAAATGGGGGCTGCCTAGTGTTCCTTACTTGTAGTTTTTATTAGTATGTAATCACCTACCAACAGGTAAATGTATGCCTGTTTACTTGAAATGTCAGAATGAGATGGCAGGGAAAGAGAGAGAGACAACATGCACGGAAGGAAAGGAAATCTCACTGTGTCCTTGGGAGCCAAGGGGCTACATCCTAATGAGAGTGCTCTGCACTTATCATTTTAACAAGAGAAAGAACGAGGAAATGTCCTCCTGCTTAAAAAGAAGGCAGGGTCTATCAATAATAACCTAAGGGCCTTCATTATCTTTCTGAACCATCGCTCCTACTATGTAAGAGGTGCAGTCTCCAGTGCTAAAATGCGGCTAATTAATTCTGTGGGAGTTCTTTATGAGAGCGTTACCCCTCTGCTGGGTAACTGAGCTCCACATTCACAGTCCTGCCATTCCCACGTCTCCACGGGGGGATAAGCAGGGCCAATGAATTCCATGCCATGCCCTGGTTCGTGAGGCTGGTAGAAATTCTTTGCAATTTAAGACCACTGCTGTGACATTACCTACAAGGCTTCTTTTCCATGAATCTGTTACATCCAACAGTAGGAACCGGCGGGTCCGTGGCTGATGGATGCTACAAGTACTAACCAGCAACGAGAGCATCTACCACAGCTGAACTACTGTGAGTTCATCCATTTGCTTATTATCAGAAATTTTCTGGGTATTTGGAAAGGCTATTGTGCCAATGTCAGCATCCCCTCCAGGTGAAATAATCACTGAAAAGTTTAAGATTAACAACTGAATGACCAGTGCCACCTATCGTAGTCATGGGGAGCATGTTTACTGTTAGAACAACAGGGTTCCGCTTGGGATCCCAAGGAGAATCTTTTTGTTTCTTTTAGAACAAATGGCCTTACAGTGACTCAAAGTACATTGTCTTTAGCTAAATAATAGTCATGTCTAATAAAATGATACCAATGGTCTTGGTAGCTTCAGAGCACTTATGAAAACAATGTTTCAGCTAATACTTAGCACAACTAGTGACTCTGTGTGGGACAAGTGTTATAAATGGGGAACTGCAGGTCCTCGTCAAACTGCCATCAAGTCTAACCCTGAGTACTCTCAGAATTGGGGGTCGTCCTTAAACTCGAAGAGATCTGAGTAGAATTTTGTATGACTAATTCTGAGGAAGTTTTTTTAGCCTGAGCCTAAATGTGTTGCTCTGCAGTTTCTCCCAAGTAGTCCTGTTTCTTCCCTATGGAACAACAAAATAGAAATCTATTTCTCTTCCACAGGATAGCAGTTTAGACGTTCTTTTACTCCCAAATCAATCTTCCACAACTAGAGCAATCTGATGCTCTTTGGCAGTTTTTCATACATGAGAATGTGTGTCAAAATCTATTTTTTCTAGTCCTACACTGTTCAAGACATTAGCTACCTGTGGCTATTTAAATTAAAATGACATAAAATTAAAAATTCAAATCCTAGTTACACTATCTGCCTTCAGCCCCGTGTGACTTGTGGCTACTCTGTTGGGCCATGCAGAACATTTTCAATGTGACAGAAAGTTGTACTGGACAGCACTGTCCTAGACCCTTGAAGTACTTTGGACGGAATTTCTGCATATGTACTGGTCCTGGTGTGGGGCCACCCTTTCCTATCACCTACTTTCAGTCCCACCTTCACAGTGTCTATTTTATCTGATTTATTTTAATTGTGAGGGGTGTTGGTGGAGAAAAGAAAAAGAACTCCACCCCACATCCTGTCAGATCAGAAATACTTAAGTGGTTTGTGGGCTGGCTGACAAGCTTTAATATTCTCATCTTTTCAAATCTAAACTCAGCTTGAGGCCAAATCACTGCCTATATTATATACACACAAATTCTATTATTAAAATGGAAGCAAAAGTTCTTTTTACTTAAACTGACAAGAGGGAGAAGATAGACTTTATATCTTTATTTTTTATTTGGGGGGAGGCTGTGCAAATGGAAGGAAGAAAAAAATAACCCAAAGAAGAAAAAAATAAGCTAAATGGATCTTTCTAAAGTAATCAGATACCCCATGGTAAGATTACCATAAATCACACACAGAAAAAGCACACGATTTAAGTAGAGTAACTTTCTTATTTTGATTCTTTTAAGATATTTCCCAGCGGGGTGTGGTGGCTCACGCTTGTAATCCCAGCACTGTGGGAGGCTGAGGCAGGTGGATCACCTGAAGTCAGGAGTTCAAGACCAGCCTAGCCAATGTGGTGAAACTTCATCTCTATTAAAAATACAAAAATCGGCCAAGTGTGGCCGGGCGCGGTGGCTCATGCCTATAATCTCAGCACTTTGGGAGGCCAAGGCGGGCGGATCACGAGGTCAAGAGATCAAGACCATCCTGGCTAACACGGTGAAACCCCGTCTCTACTAAAAATACAAAAATTAGCCAGGCGTGGTGGTGGGTGCTGTAGTCCCAGCTACTTGGGAAGCTGAGGCACGAGAACAGTGTGAACCCGGGAGGCGGAGCTTGCAGTGAGCAGAGATGGCGCCACTGCACTCCAGCCTGGGCAACAGAGCGAGACTCCGTCTCAAAAAAAAAAATTCGCTAAGTGTGGTGGCGGGCACCTGTAATCCCAGCTATTAGGGAGGCTGAGGCACAAGAATCGCTTGAATGCGGGAGGCAGAGGTTGCAGTGAGCCAAGATTGCATCACTGCACTCCACCCCGGGTGACAGAACGAGACTGTAACAAAAAACAAAACAAAACAAAACAAAACAAAAAACAACAACAAAAAGAGATTTCCCCATAGGCCTTGGGAACAGAATTCAGCACCCATTCTCAGAGGAGTTATACCCTACTGGCGTCAGCCACACTGCAAGTACCAGAAAAACAGAAAGCTTTAAAAATGTTTTTTGGCAATAATGAATGTGTGACATCTTTGGGAGACAAGAATGGAGAAAGGGGACACGACATTATTATTGGGTTAATAATAATGGCAAAACTGTCATGACAAATATAATAATGGCAAAACTGCTTGCTATGACCCAGACAGTAGTCTCAATACCTTCCATGTATTATTTCATCACATCCTCACATCATGTAAGATCAGCATGTACCATTGCTATTCCCATTCTACAGATGAGTACAATAAGAGAATCAATAGGCTTTGTAAGTCCCATCTTTATCCACTAAGCCATCAACCTGTTTTAGGAAAGCTGGTAGATTGAAGCACACTTATAGGGACATAGGCATCTCACAACAGGCCTATGGAGAGGGAGAGTTCTAGGAACTGCTTTTGAAATTTACTTTTTTTTAAACTGGAGACACAAAAATCTAGGCTTAGTGATCTTCAGTTTTAAACAAAAGCCAAGAGAGCCAAACTAAGAAACGCTTGCCATTTTTTAAAAAAATCCATCTTATTTTACTTGTATTAACATTTAAAAACCCCAGTAGGACGATACCATCATTTTGGCATGACAAGTATTCTAAGGGAAAAACCATGTTATCTTTTGCAGGCCGAGCCAGGAGCCAATTCATCAAAAGGGAGCTGTGTTTTGCATTCTATTTCTCTCTGATGTTGTTGCAAATTGTTTTCTGAACAGACTGAGAACTAAGGGAGAAGTCACAGGGCAGCAAAGGTCTTATGGTCCATCAAGGCCCACCCCAAAGTCTACTGCCTGGACTGAGCTGACTTCTTTCTTTTTTTTTTTTTTAAGACAGAGTCTCGCTCAGTCGCCCAGGCTGGAGTGCAGTGGCTCGACCTCTGCTCACTGCAAGCTCCGCCTCCTGGGTTCACGCCATTCTCCTGCCTCAGCCTCCCAAGTAGCTGGGACTACAGGCGCCCACCACCACGCCCAGCTAATTTTTTTGTATTTTTTTAGTAGAGACGGGGTTTCACCATGTTAGCCAGGATGGTCGCGATTTCCTGACCTCATGATCCGCCCACCTTGGCCTCCCAAAGTGCTGGGATTACAGGCGTGAGCCACCGCGTCCGGCCTCAGCTGACTTATTTCTTAGTGAACAGGTGCAGAGACTGCATAGGAGATTGAATTCCTCTGTCCTCCTTGTCCTTCCATATATCTCCCGACCCCTAAAAGAAGCCTCCAATCACTGTCACAGTTTGTCTTTAGACCCACAATCAAAAGCTTCATGGCATCTAAACGTGAAAATCTGGGCCAAAAAAAAAAAAAAAGATTTAGTTTGTTTTCATCTCCCTTTACCACATTTCAATCAGTTATTTAACCAGTTAGTAAACCATCAATGGCAGATACCATTAACCTTCTACTCACTCTACTATAGAAATAGAGCCATTATTCCAGTGAAAAACTAAGTAACAAGTTTGATTCAGTCTTCGAGTTCCTAGAATCCTTAAATAAAAATATGTGAACTTGATTTGCCTTGGAGCTTTTTCCTCTATCACTTTACCTCTCCCCTCTTAGGTCCGTGGGCAAAAAGTAATAAAAGCAACATGCTGCAAAGATGAGCCATGTTTCTTAATCACTGAAGCGCTGATGTGCTATTTATGAAATAGGACTGGGTTGAAAGGATAATGGTTTCTTTTCCTATTGATGCATCTACTTAATAAGTTTTACTATAATTGTAAACCTTCATAATCTCTTTTTTTAAAGACTACATAAAAACAGTAGTAACATTTTAGATGTAACTCATGGGTTTTACTATACAATAGAATAATGATTTTCTACTATGTTCACTATAGTATCTGCAATCTCTTTAAGTGATCTGAAGCTTTCATTGGTAAGTTAAGAGGAGTATTTGAACAATAATCAGATATGTGGTGTGTATTGGTACAGAAAGGATATTAGAGACACAAGCTGTAGTACATGCAAAAAGGCAGCTTTCTATGTGAGAAACCTTTATAGGATTTGGACCAAAATGTTAGGTATAGAATGTTGTCTCTAATGCCCTACTCTTCATATATTCATATTCTTTAATGACCTAACTCTATTAGAGAAGTCTTATGATTTTAGGCTCTCCCTGATCTCCGCACTATCAAAACCTGGTCCTGAGAAGTTTCATAAATGTATTTAGACTCTGGCCTAGAAGTCTGAGAAAGAGTTTTTCCAAGGCTATGTGTAAATTAATATAGTATAATGTTATAAGACAATAAATAAATCACTTTAATAGCTACAGACAGGAACTGACCCCACTAATTCTTAACTGATGGTTCTGACCCACTTTGTATGTACAGGGCAATTTGAAATACAAAAGGGGTTCAAAAACTTCTAACTAAGTCACAGTAATTACAATGTAATTGCTACTACCATACAACCACTTGCCTTTCCAGTGTTCTTAAAAGCAGTGGTAATTAACATGCTGCTCACCTGGTTAGTCTTTTTGAACATGTGCCTTTTTAACGGGACTGCTCAGTGCACCCCTATAGACCCGAAAGGCGATGCCCCATTTCACTCTGGTAAGCAAAGACTTGACATTACACTGTGTCTCTCACCTCTTATTTTATTCAGCCAAGTGAAACATCAGTGTGCACTTCACCTACATATTTGGCTATACAAAAAAAAATTAATATGTGTATAGATGTTTCGGCACATGTCTGAGAAAGGATAAAGATATACTTGTGCCGTGTGGTACACCAGTTGAGAACTACTGTTCTAAAGCATAGGTAATACCTATGGAGCACTTACTATATGTTAAGCACTGTTCTAAACGGTTTGCACATTTTAACTAATTTAAGGCTAAATTCTTCTCTTCACTACATAAGAGCCATAGTGACAATATTTGGTAAACATTTTTTTATAATCACAGCTCAATACTTTAGGGCAATCCATGAGTTAACTTCAGCCGCACTTTTAAACAACTAGCTTTAATTTTAAAATAAACCTTTCTCAGCTTATCTTTATATGAGAAATGGACATCATAGGAGTAGAAGTGATCTAATCAATTTGCTCTTAAACTAGTCTATACTTTACTACTGAAACCCTGGAAGCTGGGTATGTTCCTTCCATTTTCCTAGTACATCCCCAGAAATGCTGATGGCAGAAAATTAAGAAGAGTGAAATGGGTATGTCCTAGAAAACAATTGTTATAACTCCTGGGGCCCACAGGATTCACTGCAACAATTCCCTTATCTCTTTCCTCTTCCTTCAAATGGAGAAAGCCTGGTTGTTGTCCCATATCTGAAAACGAGGGCTCTGGCCTGGCCCTTTCTTGTTTCAAATACTTGAAGACCACCAAAGCTTGGCAAGATTAGCATGAGAGAAACAATGTAAGTTTCAATCACTGTCAACAAATATTCATTGAACTACACAACTTTCAAAACTTCTATACCAAAGCAAAAGTTATTTTTAGCAACATGCAGGCAGAGAAGACTAAACTACTTACTTATTCAACAGGTTATGTTGTTTACTTATCGAGGGGTACATTCTGTGACTAGCTCTGTGACTCTTTCGGATGTGGTTATGCTCAAAGGTAAACATTTTTTTTTTTAAGTTGGTAACTCCCCTCAAAATGTTTCAAAGCTAAGGTTATATCCTATATTTTATGGCATTTCAACAGAGCTCTTGTTCAAACATTTGCAGAGATCTGAAATTGCTTTTAGTGAAGTCTTGATTACTGCAAGGCAGTGCATATAGAGGAAGGAGTGCTGGTAGAGGGATCTAGGCTCTCCTTTCGTGTGATTTCATAACTTGGTGATCTTGGCCAAGGCACTTAGCCTCTCAGTTTCCCTACCAATAAAATACAGATAATAATGCTCTCTACCTTACAAGGTTGTGTGAGGTTTACAGCTATTGTATGTAAAGCTAGAGCATGTGTCTGGCACATAAGAAAAACTTTAGTGAGCACACTAGCTATAATTTCCAAAAATGGCCTACAGGCATTTCAGTAGAGACAAAAATCTTCGTGAGGACAAGAACACGTTTGAGGGCTTTCATTTTTATAACAAAGGGTCAGGTTTGCCACCCCTAGTCTGAAAGGCAGTAGCCAATGGACAGCTCCAGTCTCCATCATGGATGCTTGCACTTCAGGTGTTCAATAGTGATGGTCAGGTATGATTTTCAAACTGACCGATGTGGTCAAACACCTTGAAATTATGAGCTACTGCGTGCTAGTGGCTATGGAACACCATTAAATCCTGAAATGTTCAATTTTGTTGTAAGAAATAGGAAGAATTTTATTCGTAAAGTACATGATTATGTTTCATATTTAAAAACATGATGGTTTCCTCTTCAAAATAAGCTGTTGAGCTAAGTACCATCCATAGTCAATAGTATTTTCTATTCATATTTGTTACTTGATTATACAATGAGGCAAGGTTCAACAAAAATACACATTACAAAAACAGTTATCTAAGAATTTTTACCCATTTTTTCTTTTTCGATCTTTCAGTGGGAAAAAAAAGAAAGCAATAATTTGATTATAGATAGTGAGATGGCTTAGTCCAGCTCACAGGACATCTGTGTTTTGATGGAGATAAATTTAAGAACCAGCAGTCTTGGAATTATGCAGCAAATTTTGCCAAGGTTTGCAGATTTCTTTCTCAATATCTAATCAAACCTCCAGCGATTACGGACCTGGTGGCCAGGCACTCTGCAAAGAACTACAATTTAACCTCATTACTTGAGTTTATATTGATGAACAAAATGGTTAGCACAGTTCTTTTCTTTTTCTTGTAAAAACTAGACTGAAAGTTCTACGCATCATACTGCCCAGTGTTTGTTCAAGTCTCTTTACAGTATCTTCTCAATGTGTAGTGATAGGCAAATGTTTCTCTATTCTGATAACTTTAATGTTTCACTTCAATAGACAATACAATAAAAACTGTAAAAAGGTAAAAAAACACTAATATTTATGTTTTGTATAGGCTACAGGAAACTCAGTGTGAAAGTTGATTATGCAAATTGCATCATTCTTGTCATGCCCAACTAAAGAAGAGTTGACAGAGCAGCGGGAAAAAGTACTCAAGACACAGCACATGCTCCAAGAATTGAGTTTTCTCCAAGCCCAGCTGTTGAAACAGCCTGCTGTAACCATAAGACCAGTTTTACTTAGCAGCTGCTGAAACAACCTGCTATGACTTTAAGACTAGTTTTATCTACTACCATCACTCACCAATCAGACCCGGGCAGCTCCCACAAGCTTCTCTAGGGTCAATGAGCTTTCTTTCAAAACTGTAAGTAACATTTCCCTTTCTAATAAAACCCCCAATCTTTCCTTTGTTCTTTGGACATGCTGAAGACCACCCAGTCTGTTTGCATGCCCCAAATGTGATTCTATGATTCCCAAATAAAACATTAAATTTAGAGATTTGTCTCTACATTTTATTTTGACTTTGACATCAGCTTAAGTTTTTTTTTTTCCCACTTGCATTTCTTGGCCTACATGGTTTGGCATAATTTTATTTTCTTTCCTGAATCCTTCATTACTTGATTAGCATTCCATTGCTTACTGGTTTTATACTTTGTATGTGAGTCTTTTATTGGAAATGTCCTCAAATCTGAGAATTTATACTCACCAGATGTACACATATTATAAAGGCATTTATGTCCATATAATTTCCAGCACCTTGAAATGATGGAAAATTAGAAACTTGCTCTATGTCAACATACACTGTTTAAAGTCTATCTTTCCTGTTGATGGTCATCTCCAAGGAGATCAGCATAGGTCTGGTTTGTTTGATTTTTTTAAACTACACTGCCTAACTAAATCTCTGCATTACTCAAGGTTTTAACAGATATTTTAATTAATTGGCTAATTGTTTATTTGTTACTTGTCATGAGTTACAGAAATCCAAGTATGTTTCTCAATTCAATAAAATTCCAAGTAGAATTTCTTACCGAACTTTAGCCTTTCTACTAAAAGGGAAATTGGAGAGAATCCAAATTCAATATTTTTATGAACTCAAAGATGTGAATCTACATTATAATAAATCATATATAAGAACAATATTATATGGTTAAATGTCTTTTTTATTTTTTATTTTAAAAAGGAAAACCAAAAAGGTGTGACATTTCAGTGGGTACCTTCATATATCACTGGTGGCAACAAACACTAGGACATTATGGAGTGAAATGTGACAGCCTACAAAACACTCTGAGAGGGCTTTACTTCCTTTTACTCAATACTTTCATAAGAAATGCAGTGCAAAGTAATAACCACTGAGATACACCATTATTCATAATAATGATGAATTGGAAAAAATCCAAATATATAAAAATGGGTTAGGTAAATTATGGTATTATCAATATAATAGGATACTATGTGGTCACAAAAAATCAGGCTATGGAAAAGTATTTAATGGCCTTTGAGAAAGTTTATGTGAAACTTTGAGAAAGATAAAAGACTGGAATGCTTATGCCACAAAATATTAAGAGTGGTCACCTCTCAGTTTCACTATGAGCACAATTTAAATGTTTTTCTTGAAATTTTCTGCATTTTCTAAGGTCTCTAGAATGCAACTATGTCACTGCTATAATCAGCAAACCAATAAATTCTACTGAAATAGAGCCTTTGGGTATTATAGGTTGAGCATCCCAAATCCGAAATGCTCCAAAATCTGAAACTATTTGAGTGTCACATGACACTCTAAGGAAATGTTCACCAGAGCATTTCCAAAAAAAAAAAAAAAAAAAAAAGTTAAAAATCCAAAACACTTCTGGTCTCAAGTATTTCAAATATGGAATATTCATCCTATACCTTTTTAAAAGGGAACCAGCCCTGCTCTCACAACAGGAAGTTTTCCCCTCTGTGTTTCTCCGCAAGATGTATTCACAGGATTTTCACAAGACATTCAACCCAGAACTGAGTACCACCTCAGACTTTCCCAACTTCAGACCCCCTACTACATCCCAAATAAAAGGTCATGGGTGATCCCTATTGATGCCGACACTGCCACGGCCTCCAGTGGCAATTCGGATCCAGGGCAGTTAACTGTGCTCCACTGGGATACTTTGAGTCACACGAAGAGATATATCGACTAAGTAAAATGCTGAAGTATCAATAAAAGCTGGTGAAATCTGAAACAGCAATCAAGTAAACACTATCATTCATGGCTCTCCTGGCCTCAGTTTCCTCACTCATAATTCTGGGTCTTTAGACTACAGGCTTAAGTTTTCATCCTGCTATAAAGTTTCAGAGTTTCATGATATTGGCTAAAGGAGTGAGACAAACTGGGATAATGCTGAGTAGAAGAGGACCCCTGCTTCTGCTCACGGTGTGAATCACAGGAATTCCCTTGCTTTAGGCAGGAAAGTGGCAGCAGATGTCTGCAGTGTTGGTGATGAGCATGGAACTGCAAGGCTGAATGAAAATGCCAAGCCCTGAGACCCAAGAAGGTGATGCGCTGAGGAGGGGCAGCATGTTGGCTGAGTAATCTCTAGAGGAGTCAGAGATGTGAAACAGGGCCCAGTCAAGGAATGTGGTTAGGATATAAAGAAGCCATTGATGCTTCCCCTTCCTATATCACACAATCACCAGAGAGAAAATAAATGGCAGCAGATACATCTAAAAGAAAATGAGAAAAAAACTATGTTTTTGTAGTTCTTGCTCTGGGAGGGGTGAGGAAGAGAAGAGTGTCAGGGCACCAGTAAAACCCTTCTAGCAGTAAGGGAACATGTATAATGCAGATTGAGGGGCTCATTTCTTAAAGGGAAATGGGGGCCAGAAGATGGCCTTTATAAACCTCCAAATTGTATAGCACCCTCTGGAGTGTCTTCTATCTGAAACTACTGTAACCCACAAGGGGATTAGAGTGCAAAGAGTCTCTGTCTTTCCTCTGATTACTGTGCTAGCAAGCCAAACAAGAGCAGAGTGTGGCCAAAGGAAAACCACTAAAGCCAGAAGAGTGATTATGTGATACTCTGGGAGTTGCAGCAGCACTGTGTGTGTGTGTGTGTGTGTGTGTGTGTGTGTGTATGTGCGCGCGCGCGCGTGTGTGTGTGCGTGCACACATGTGCATGTGTATTTCTGCAAATCCAGGTGCAATCCTCCCAGTTGCTAGATCAACCTCAGCTCCCTGCTGTCAGAAAGTCAGAAACCTCTTGAGGGCAGGAAAGAAACAGCCTGGTAAAACAGAATAGAATGCAGCAGCCATTTGTCACCCCCTATTATTTCCGAGTGGAAGTGGGGGTGGCATGTGGATGGCCGTTCCTCCCCATTCCTGCGCAACAGAGCATATGGCAATGCCAAGGCACAAGTGTTACAGGGTCCTTTTGCTCTGGGAGTCTTATGTAGGTTTCCTTGATCTCAAGTGAGAGGTAGGAAGAAGTATTTTATCTTCAAAGATTCCAACCCTAAATGAGAGCAACCTCAGGAATAAACTCTTCTGCACAGCCACAAGGGAGCTCAAAGAAAACTTTTCATCAATGCCTTGGCTAGATGCTGGTTTTTAAAGAGAAAGGATATATTAGGACAGAATGGAAATGATGGCCAAAAAAAAAAAAAAAAAGAAGATCTTTCAGGAAAAAGAATGCCATGCAGATACTTGCAGCACGCATGCACGCACCCACTTACTCTCTCCTCGGACATGATGAGAAGTGCTTAGTGGGGCAGGCAGTAAAAGGTGGGCAGCAGATAGAAAAGAGATGAGCCAGACAGCCTGCCCCTCAAGACCATCAAATTGGTAAGAATTTGGTGTCCTTAACCAAAGTCTCTAATTTAGCCACCTTTGAAGTAACCAACACACTAATGCAAGCTGGTGGTTTTATTATGGAAATTATACTAGATAAATGGTGGATAGATGGCCAGGTAGGATAAGAGCAAAAGGACAGGAAGATTTCAAGAGTGGTTTTGGGGGATAGAGAGGAGAGGAAAAGGATGCATAAGATAAGCAAGCAGTAATTGGTATATCCATTTGGAATTATGGTGTTTTTTAATGACTATAACACTAAAACTAGTTATAGTATTCAAGCCCATTTAGTATAACTATGACTCACTACATTGTTTTTTTTTTGAGACAAGGTCTTGCTGTCACCTAGGCAGAAGTGCAGTGGCACAATCATAGCTCACTGCAGCCTCAATCTCCCCAGCTTAAGCAATCCTCTCACCCTAGCCTCCTGGGAATACCAGCCTGCACCACCATGCCCACTTTTTTAAACTGAATTTTTACTAGAGACAAGGTCTTGCTATGTTGCCCAGGCTAGTCTCGAACTCCTCAGCTCAAGCGATCCTCCCACGTTGGCCTCCCAAAGTGCTGGGATTACAAGCATGAGCCACTGTGCATGGCCTAATTGCAATTTCTATAAGCCTAATCAATGCCTTTGGCTTTAAGGGCACTGTACAAATAATGAAGCTCTATAAATAAATATTTAAAATGTCAGCTGGGTGCGGTGGGCAGACAGCTTGAGCTCAGGAGTTCCAGATAAGCCTGGGCAATATGGCGAGAATGCGCCTCTACAAAAAATACCAAAAAAAAAAACCACAAAAAACAAAACACAGGCATCGTGGTGCACACTTGTGGTCCCAGCTACTTGGGAGGCTGAGGTGGGAGGATTGCTTGAGCCTGGGAGGCAGAAGTTGCAGTGAGCCAAGATCACACCACTGTATCCTGGGTGACAGGGCGAGAACTTGTCTCTAAATAAATAAAATGTCTGTCACCATTCCTTTTGGACTTTAGTATGGCATTTTTTTTAAATGTATGTTTGTGTTTAAATAGCATCCATTATGAAATTTTAAAAAATTGCAGCCTACATATAATTTAAATTGACTGACTGGAAAGTTATTTGTTATCAGATTACAGCAGGGTGGTGAGGACGGAAGGAAGGAAGCACTGGAAAGAACACCACAAAATCCCCTCTTTAGAACCTCACAAATGTTGCACGTCTTCAAAGCCCTACTTTATGGGTTCAAGAAAGGATACTATTTTAAGAGAGCTTTTTTTCCCTATTTTATTTTAAGCCAAAAAACTCCTAAACTATGCAAACTCAATAAAAAAGATCCACACATACTAAAATACCTTATGCCTCCAAGAAGTGCAAAAATTAAACAAAAGAGGTACTCAGTCTGAAGTTTTAAAACCACTTATGAGAAAAACCCACATTTTTATGTACTAATCACCAACAACAGTCCTTAATATATATGAATCCCTCATTTAAGTGAACTTTCATTGGAAAATTATTGTGAGCAGAGACACAATACACTTGCTGACATTTTCCTCCCTTCATACTTTAACAGATGTGGTATGAATATCACTATGCACGCAAATAAAATATAACACAGAACTTATAGGAAACCTCAGTTTGAATTATGGTCTAAATGCTCATATAAAGAATTTATTTTAAGAAAGAAATATAGAATTATCCTGAAGTTCAAAATGTAATTCTAACTAACAGCTAAAAGGTCTTAGAGGGCAAGTTTAATGAAGGAAGAAGACCTACTATCCATGTAAATATAGACTCTTAAGAGCTTGAAAAGGTGTTGCCTTTAGAGCCAGTTAAACCTCAGATGATTAAATGTGCCCTTACAATCTATGCAATATCCTTTACCATCTCACTTATTTGTTTAGCAAATTAATGAGGCTTTACAGTATTGCTGAGAACATTATGTGTCTACATCCCAAAAGCCCACCCTTTAGAAGTATTTTTAAATTGAGAAAATGTAAGCCTATGCATGCAGTAATGAATAGGTAAAAAATATTTCCTGGAATGCTGAGCTCAATCCCTTCCCAAAACATCGTTCTTCCTTGTGACACTGGTGGCACCGCTGGCTTGATGGCTTTAATAGTAGCTGATCAGTATCCCCAAAAAATTCTCAAAAAGATGTGTTCTACAAACATGTACTAGTAAAGGGATTAGCAAAACTAAAGGTTTCTTTGGGGGAAAAAAATCACTGGTGACATTCCTGAGAAGCATTCACAATTTTTCTATTAATATTTACATTCATGCTCAAAAACCTGCAGGTAGGCACACTAAGTCCATGTGTCCTGCTGGATGGGAGTTGGCTGCAATACTTTATTAAGACTGAAAAGGAGATACATTAAATATAATATCTAGCTAGGCCAAGCTTGTGGAACCCGCAGCCCGCACGTGGCTCAGGACAGCTCTGAATGTGGCCCAACAAATTTGTAAACTTTGTTAAAACATTTTGAGATGTTTCTGCCATTATTATTATTATTTTTCTAGCTCATCAGCTATCGTTAGTGTTACTGTATTTTATGCGTGGCCTAAGACAATTCTTCTTCCAATGTAGCCCAAGGAAGCCAAAAGATTGGACACCCCTGCCCTAGGTGATAACAGCTGCCTCTTATGTTTTACCTACCTCTAAAGACACTTGATATACACATATACACACGCATGATGCAGTGGACTATTCATATGTGTGTATCTATAAAATGACCTGCCACATAAGGTGTTATTTTTCTTTATAAGCAAGGCTATCATAAAATTCTTTGGATCCAAGTGATTTCTGTGTCATTGACAGATCATGCATCAGACTACATGTTATGGTCTCCAATGTAGAAAAAAAATGGCATCTAGACTTAAGACTGGCTGATCCCTATTATCAAACAGAAAGATTTTTTTTTTTTTAAAGGAAAAAAACAAAAGCAAAAGAAAATCCCTAAGCCAAACCTGGGACATACCGATTCTATAGGTCTGGATTAAAACCCTGTGGACTATAAATATTTCCAAATGTCCCCAGCTGATGATGTACCAGGTTTGGAAACCCTGAGCTAGAGCACAAAGGCACCTTGGCAGGTGAGGGAAGCACGGGCTGCAAGGTGCTCATCATTTTCTTGCTGAAAGTTCAGGCTGTGGTGGCAGAATGGAACGTAGGCTTCAATGATACCAATCTAGAAATGAAAATGCAGACACCACACGCTCATTTTCAAGCACCTATTTTTGGGTGCAACATTCTCTTCCCCACCAGCTTGTGAGAGAGGAGAAACCGTAAGTGTGGGGAATAGAGAGAAATGAGAAGCAGCCAAGTAGTGCATCTACAACACATGAATATCCGACCAAAATCATTCCAGAATGCTGTAGGATCTATTCCGAACTCAGGGTCTAAGGAGGTGTTTAATGCATGAGTCATCATGTGTGAGAGTAAATAACAGAGTTTGCCTTGAGGCACAAGGAAGAGATTGTAGGTAAGATGACCTAAATGTCCCAAAGAGTCTGGAGGCAGAAAAACATGGTGCATTACAAAAGGATGAACAGAGTGAAGCAAAAAATGAAAAAAATCATTTCCATCTGTGTAGCTCCAAGCCCAAAACATTGCAATCTTTATTTGGAAAAGAGTTAATTATGATTATAGAACACGAAATGACTTTCCATCAACTTATTTCTCCAAAAGAAGAATGAATTTGCATTTTCATTGAACTGATCAAATGTTATCTAAGAATTGCTTAATTGCCTTAATGGTTTAATTCTATTTGCTGCCAATCTGATTAGCAAAGTGTGTGTCTGTGTGTGCACCCGTGTGGGCTGGCATTAAATGGGAGGGTGAAACCTATTACTGAGAGAACAGCAACGTGGAGCTGTCTGGCTTTTGGTTAATTGAGAAACCACAAGTGGTGTGAGAAGGTCAGCCTATCATTTATTTTAATTTTCTCCTCTCCTGTTTTCCCAGTCACTTGTTCATCTCAGGAACTTGCCTTAGACTTGAGACCACTAACAGCATGTGTTAATTTGGGTTAAGGAGAAGGTGAGCCCAGGTATTACTGCCAGTGTAGTGATTTAATAGGAACCTGGATATAATTTAATAGATCCTTCATGCCTCAGCCAGACATGGTTAATATGGATTGGGGTAACATCTTACAGAAGCTAATACTTACATTAATATCTTGGGACTTTATCTCTTGGGACACTGCAACAATGCATAACCTAACAGAACAGAAATAATCTCTCTCAACCTGCATGGGAACATCTAGTGATAAAAGCACTAAAATGGCTGCTTTTGGACAGGGTTAAAGTACTGAAAGGTGGTTTCAGAATCACTTCTGACTGACCTTGAGGAAAGTCACAGTTTGTCTCTGTGTCCTAAACTTCAAACTGGAGTGACTTAAAATTTGTTTTTTAAAGAGACTTTGGGCCAGGTGCAGTGGCTTACACCTGGAATCCCAGCACTTTGCGGGGCTGAGGTGGGTGGATCACCTAAGGTCAGGAGTTCGAGACCAGTCTGGCCAACATGGTGAAACCCCATCTCTACTAAAAATATAAAAACTAGCTGGGCGTGGTGGTGGCCGCCTGTAATCCCAGCTACTCGGGAGGCTGAGGCAGAAGAATTGCTTGAATCCAGGAGACAGAGGTTGCAGTGAGCTGACACAGTGCCACTGCACTCCAGCCTCAGCAAAAAAGTGAGATTCCGTCTCAAAAAACAAAACAAAAAAAACCCAAAAAAAACCAAAAAAAGAGGCTTTGGGTTTTTCAGGTGCATAGGAAGCTCTAAGAAAGCTGAGCAAAGGAGGTTCTACCCTCAATTCCGAGCTCTCCCATCCACTGTGATTTAACTGGAGACATTTCACTTCAATCAGTTTGTAGTACTCTAGACAAGATTTGGCTTGAAAAAATGTTTTGTCTGTGAAAATATTTGATAAACCACTGGGATAGATGATGTCTAAGATTATGTACAGTTCTAACAATGTCTTCCTTCTGAACATCCTGTTTGTCCTGGTAGAAAAATTCATCGTTCAGGTGTGGTGGCTCACGCCTGTAATCCCAACACTTTGGGAGGCTGAGGCGGGAGGATCACGAGGTCAGGAGATCGAGACTATCCTGGCTAACACGGTGAAACCCCATCTCTACTACAAATATAAAAAAAAAAATTACCCGGGTGTGGTGGCAGGCGCCTGTAGTCCCAGCTACTTGGGAGGCTGGGGCAGGAGAATGGCGTGAACCCGGGAGGCAGAGCTTGCAGTGGGCCGAGATGCGTCACTGCACTCCAGTCTGGGTGACAGAGCGAGACTCTGTCTCGATAAAAAAAAAAAAAAAAAAATTATCTTCCTCTTCACAATATTTTGAGCTCTAACTTCTTCAAGACTTACATCAATGCCATCTCTTCTCTGAAACCTCCCTCAAGAGGAACAACCCTTTGGAGACGGTTCTCAGTTAACTACGTAGACAGCTTTGTTGGAAAGAAATTCTGTGACTACATTTGACCACAGAGTAGTCTTTCCTAAACTTAAGATAAGAAATACTCTGGCTACTGGGTCAAGGATTCCATGCTTTGAATTCTGGGTGGTGTAAGGCAGGGTTAAAAGTATACCCTGGGAGGCCTAGCATAGCAGCTTACATCTGTAATCCCAGAAGTTTGGGAGGTCAAGGTGGGAGGATGGCTTGAGTCCAAAAGTTCGAAACCAGCCTGGGCAACATAGTGAGACCTTGTCTCTATAAATTGAAAAAAAAAAAAAAAAAAAGTCAGGCATTATGGTGCACACCTGTGGTCCCAGCTACTCAGGAGGCTAAGGTGGGAGAATCACTTGAGCCCAAGCAGTCCAGGCTGCAGCGAGCTGTGATAACACCACTGAACTCCAGCCTGGGTGACAGAGCAAGACACTGTCTCAAAAAAAAAAAAAAAAAAATGTATACCCAGGGAAATACATATCAATAGCTTTGATATGTTAATTTCCTCAGATGCAGTAATAGAACTAAAAGAAATTTATCCTAAGGAAATACTGACAGATGTACACAATGATTTATTAATAGGAAGTTCATGCCTCAGCATGGTTGATAAGGGTGAAAAATCAGAAACAACCTAAACACAGAAAATAAAGTTACACACACAATAATAGTTAAATAAAAAGTTTTTACTTTGAAATAACATATTGCATTAATTATCATGTTTTCAAAAAATTCACATCTCACGATGTGGGAAGATGCTGATTATATAGTTGAAGGGAAAAAGGCAGGACACAAAACTGTACGTATATGCTGAAAATGCTGATATATTTGATATCTACTCAAAGGAAATACATAAAAAGAGTAGTAAAATGGTTGTTACTTTAGTTTTCTTCATTGTATTTCGTGTGTTTTCCAAATTTTAAAAACAGATACTTTTCACTTTTACTATACTAAATATAAATGATTCTGAATATTCAGCAAAGTAGTCAACATGATATCTATGTGCTCAAGTAAACTTGAAAATGACTTTGTTCCCATCAGCTTTCTTCAATTCTTCAACTATGCGATACTTCCAAATCACAAATGTTTGATGAGTCGAAATCTACTCTTACAACAACTAAGACAGGAATACCAAAGGCCTAAAGAGAACTGACCTTGGGAAGTATGAGGAAGATCCCTCTAGAAATGGGTTCTAGTCTCCACTATGCCACAGGTCAGCTGCAAGGCTCAGCAAGTAGCTTCATGTCTTGGGGCTTTAATGTAGTCATTACGAAGGAAAGGTGCATGGCTCATTCTTTTTTTTTTGGTATTCCCAGTGTTTACAACATTGGAAGTTATCAATAATGTATACAGATTGACAGACAGATGGGCAGATGGATGAAGTAGACAAAAGGCTATTACTAAGATGAGTTAATATCTTAGCTTCTTGATTGAACTCTTCAAATCTATACTATGAACTCTCTTGGTCACACAAATGAAACTTGAAACATACATAGGGAAGCCCAGTTTTTGATCCTTTAAGCTTAACGTCATACTTCTTCACAGATCCATTAATGCCTGAGATAAGTACAATAAGGAAAACTCAGGTTTCACGAAGAAGAGAAACAAGGGGCTACTGCCTATGAATGGGTAGTGAAAGACCCTGAGGTGGGAGCAGTTGAGTTGGAGTAACTCAATAGAGTTGAGGCAATAGAGTAACATTTGATGGTCAAAGCCAGGAGACCAAGATTTAACTGATTAAATATGCAGTGTGGAACAGTATTCAGGATGAAAACTAAGAGATCCAAACTCCAAAAACAAAACCCAAAAAACAAAAAATCAAAATTTATAAAGGACATCTGGCCTAAGATAAAAACAGAGAGAGAACGGAGGTTTAAGCAGTAGGAGTCAGCATTCTAGAACAACATAGGACAGTATCTTCCAAAAGACACTCAAAGATTGTGGCCTCCAGTGGGTCTGAGGTGTAACAGATTGATACAGCCCATCTTGGTCACCCAGGCTGACTCTGATCAGAATAAAGTACTCAACTCTTGGAGGCCACTAGAATGCCACTTAATAGACAGATAGGTGCTGAATGGAAGCACACAACGTCAGTGATTAAGACCCATCTTAAGGAGACACTAACTTGCAACTGGGGCATAAAAAATAAAATCAGGCTATCTGCTATTTACATAAACTCCAATTCTATTTTATGAGCTGGGAGCAGAAAAATAGAGAATACACTTCTGCCCTTCATCTTTCTAGGTATCAAAGCCTTTCTAGGCTAAGCCACAGCTAGGACTGTTCTCTTTTACACAGTGAAATCATTTCGAAGTGAGTAGCCTAGTAAATTTAGAGGAGTAAACTATTCTTGCCTATGTCTTCATGATCTATAATGGAAGATAAATCCTGTTAGCCTGGGCATGGCAAGGCAATTATTTCAACTGCTACGTTTCTGTGGAACAAACAAAACGACTCCAGGCTTATGCATTTCCTATTTAACGGAGAAGGGAAGCAGCACTATGCTCACCATGCCCGGAACACTGGTTGTCACAGACCAGTGGCAACCAGAATGGAAGACAGGCCTTGTCTATTATCACCACTGGATATCAAAGTCCTCTGGGCTACATGTGCTCATATTCGCCTGTCCAAACCAGCCTGTGACCGAATGGTGCTGAGCAAGAAGCAAAGGAAAAACGATCATGCTAGGAACATCAGGGCATTTTGGATGCAAAGCAGAAGCTTATCGTTTTTACTGTTGCAGCTCCAGAGAAAAGCAATTTTGACACAGAACTGCCACTTTACAAGCAAATAACTATACTTTCCAATAACCTAATCTGTGCAAAGCCTACTGAAAATTCCCTAAAGAACCAGTAGTTAAAACCTCCATTAAATCAAAGGGTTTAATATGGGAAAGGAAGAGAGGATGCAGTTTGACTTGGGAATGTAATGGACTCAGTGGGGAAATAAATATGTTGTTTTATGTGTACAGTTACAGAATATGAGAACACGGTATTCATTTCAAAGGGAATTCTCTTGCTGTGCAACTTATTCCTAAACAGATGTGATTTTTGCTTATTCAAAAACATTTAGGTAACAATTACAGCATAATAAATTATAATTGCCATCATCTTCCAGCTATGCAATGCCTTCTATGCAAACACAAAGAAAAGGCAATTACACAAAACTGTAAAACCCATTTTCAGGTAGGTTCTGCAGCCTAGATTCAAATAATCTATATTATTCTCACATAAACACTGTATTGTGCCTCACATATATATATCCTACTATGCCATGTGGAAACTACCTAGCAAATAACTAGGGTTTGTTAATCACAGGCTTGGATGGCCCCCAGTGGGGTAGTTTTAGGGGTGCCAGGAATGCCTTCCAGCCCTCAGATACCTACTTTTGCAGTCTTCAACTACCATCAGTCACTCCACCATACAGAGCTTCAAGCCACTGGTCACTCCAATGCAAATGCTCCAAAGAGGTGGAATATTATGTAGGCAGCAATGTTTTTAAACCTTAAAATAACTAATGTACCAAATTTTCAACAGGACAGTGCACTAAGGGTACGGCATCATCCAGACACTCTAATAGCGGGAAAGAAATGGTGTCCCTGAGACGAGGACATTGGTGCACACTCTCAAACAATGACAGGGAATATGCCAAGTAGGAGTGAGAAGAAAATAAATTCAGAGAAAAAGGTGTGGTTCTAACATCCACAAATTTGTCCATATCCCTTTTATACCAATGTTTTATTTCACATGGAAATCATGTGAAATCATGCATTTCAGGCATGATGACAGAACCGAAATGTCCTCATTCTGACAAAGAACTTATCCTCCTTTATCACTCACATTTACCATGTAATATATCTCTGACAGGTAGAACAGCATGAGTATGATGTGGACAGCTTGTTTTCAGATGAGCAATAAACTGATAAACCAGAAAAACCGATAAAAACAGGAGTTAAGACACTTAAGTTTTACTCTTATCTACTACTTAGTATCTTAACTTAGGAAGTGGCTTAAGCTCTCCTAAGCTGCACACCATACAGTATTCACCTTTACTTACAAAGTATCCCCCAGGAAGACTGGTTACAAAGGCACTGGGAAGAAAAATGAAGAGCACACAGTGTCCTTACCCTTGAGAGACTCAGTCTCCAGGGAGAAACAGTGATGTGAACAAATGACAACAGAGATGAGATCAGGGCTTGTGTAAGTACGGGGAAGGGACCATCTACCTGCTCAGAAGGGTCTCAAGAGGACTTTGCAGAGTTGGTGTTATGTCCTGAAGGATAAGAATGAGCTTGCTAAGCAGGCAAAGCAGGGATAGAGGGCATGCTAGGAAATGAGAATAACATGTACAAAGGCAATCTGCAAAACTAAGATAACGTGTCTGTGACAGCGCTTTGTTAACCATAAACTGCTTTACAACAATGGAGTATTTATACTGTTAATAGAAAGCTGCACAAGGGGTTGGCGAGAGTCTCTGTGGCTCACTCACTCAAAGGAATACCATTTTGATTAGGCTGCATCACGGTATACAGTGACCAATTTAAGGATCATCTGTTTAGCAAAGCATTTTAAAATTTTCCTTCTCTAACTAGTAGGGAACCATCTCACAATCACAACTAAAGAAAAATGGAAGTACTTGGAAGTGGCTTCCTATGTATTCCTTTAATGTCTCATTTGCTGCTGCTCTTTGAACAAGTCCACTCCAATCTCCATCCCCAATCATGCATTTTGTCCTGCATTTAGAAGTTTACACTGATACCCTTCTTCTTTATGAAATGTGTAACTTTAAAAGAATGAAAAATCTTGCTGCTGAGTTGACACATCTATGCTGACGGTGTGCTTCCTAAAACATTTTGATCACTTCTGACTCCTGAATACAGGCATGGTTTTACATAATTAGAGGCTATCGGAAAGTCTCAGGCCTAAAGCCCCACTGGTGAGTGACACTGAGTGGCTACAACTGTACTTTCACATACGCATTTTAGATGAGAATGTGCAGCAGGTGATGCAGATGTTAACTAAAGCCTGTGTGGGTAACCACGTGTCGGAACATGAACCGCTATATAAGAACCAAAGTATTTGACCAGAGACTCCATGAAGGCAAGGAAAACCTGACTACTGTACTCCTAAAATCTAGTACAGTGCCTGGCATAAGAATAGAATTCAATAAATGCTCATCATGGAAGCAAAGATTAACTGGGGGATATCCAAAGACTACCAGTAGGTCCACAAAATCAATCCAATGAGTCAGAAGACATTTAAAAAATATAGATAAGTGGTTTTAAAAATCAGTGCCCAGTACTGAACAGGGTGAAAAATCTGACACCACATATAATGACATCTCTCTAAAGCAGCACCTTCAAAGTGTGAATGACGGTTTTGCTTATACTTCATCTATGCAGTCCTGACCTGGGAGAGTGGGTGGCTTTCCATCTGGACCAAAATTTCACTAGCCTCCTTCATATTTATAAAATAATCTCTCTCTCTAGTTTGTCTTATTTCTCAAGCTTACTAGTCCATTTGATCATTGGAATGGAATATGAACACCATCATAAAATTACTGATTAGAATGAACCACATCACCTGAAGAATGCCTTTGCTTACTTAAGCTTCAATCTAATGCCCTAATCTTTCATCAAAGGTTAGAACTAAAATGAGTAACATGAATTCCATGTCTGAATTTTCTGGAAATCTGTAACTGGGGACATTGTCAGTTATACAGTGACTCTCAAAACCCATGTGAACATTTTCCTAAGAATTTAGAACTTAGCAAAAATATACCACTTCCCCCATTCTACACCCAAAACAAAATAAGGAGCTAGTTATCTTTTCTGAAAATAGGAATTATCACATTATTTCATTGTCTGGGCTATCAGGAACCTCTGTGCAACTTCGTGAGATGGGTGATTTACAAAGTTGTTTTCTCACCTCTCACATCTAGTACTTACTGTTATTCCTATTTTATTAAATTGCTTCAAATGCCTTTTTGAAAGCTATGGGGTAAAGATAACTATAATAGTAAAAAGATTTTTATTTCTTTATATAATTTTCCAATTTGTTCACATAATATTCCTCTGTTCAGTTTAAACATAGGAACTACAAAAGTTAAAGCAGGCCACGCCAAGTACGTTTTTGTTCTTTATGGTAGATAAAGCTGCTGATTGACAAAGATGATGTTCAACTGTTATAAAATTAATTTCCATCTAAAAAAGAAATGCTTGATATTACAGAATATTCCATTGGAGAAATGTGTATTTAGGCAGATAAATACATCAGCTGCAGACTATAAGATACATATGTGGTTTTACAGAACAAATATACCCTGTGAATAAGAAAAATGGAAATAGAGTAAAATTAGACCACCTATCTTCACCTTAACAATTTTAAAATCTAGAGGTAGCACGGTTATTTTAAATTTATTTTAACTGTCGATTATGTTTGGCTAAGGAGACTTTTATAGCCATACATTGAACATATACACACTATGTAATGACTTTGCTTCTTGGCAAGCAGCACTCTTTTAAAAAATCTAATTTATTAGTAGAAACGTTACAGTCATAGCTTAATGCCAAAAATCCCAGCTGGGCAGGTTAACAATTGTCAAAGGATCTGATACCTGAATTGGGATGAGGAATGGAGAAAAGAGAAACAAATGAAGGTTAAACTAAAACACACTGCAAATGAAAAGGAGGGAAGTGTTTAATTTCTCATTGGGGTCACGCTAACAGTAGTCAACAGAATCTATATCACATAGAGTATTAGAATTCAAATGTGAGTGACCACACCAAACGGAACTAGAATCCTTTAAGCAATTTGACGAGAGAAAAGAAACTCTCCCTATTACTGGCCCAGGATGAAGTGTTGCTGACATCCCTCTTCATATCATTTCCAGATTTAAGACATGCTTCCTCTCCAAGGCACATCTTCCCTGATCTCTGAAATGGAAACATGAAAATCTCAAATGATTCAAAAGAATGTTAAATGCCCTCTGATATAATACTGTGCTAAATGTTTTTTTTACATCATTGGTAATTTGTTTTATAAAATTGGGAAATTATTTCTCCTTTACACAGAAAAACATAAGCTTATGATCATTTATAACAGAGAATTTTAAAATTGATGCCTGCCTGCTCACCTCTAAGACATGCTTTGAGAAATCTCTTGTGATCCATTTGTTTGAATGTTCTACATCATGACTCTTCATACACAAGATTTTTCACAAATTGCTGGTTTCTATACTCCCTGAAATCTCGTCTTAGTTTAGCTTTTTTGTTATATGGTGCAAGACTTTGAATAATTTGATTTTTCCCCATCAGTGACAGAAGTCTAGAAGCATTCTGTGGGATCACATATAAAAATGCAGCCCCTCTTACTAAATTAGGTCTGTTTTGAAGTTTTCAGAATCAGAATTTAATAGAGAATTTAGTTATTTATGTATTTCCCTTCCCTACAAGTGTTTACATACTTGGTAACATCCAATTACTATTATTTTCACCTCTAACTCCTAATGGTTGAAGACTGTATCTCTAACTTTCATAAACACAAAAACTGGGAATAAATTCTAAGAATGAACTAGAAGGGAAGCCCAAAATCATCTAATCCTCAACACTCCAACTATCTTGGGTCTTTGGTCCAGACACAACCTTTGTGAGCTTCCATTTCTGAATCAAGAAAGAACAGCAGACTTGGAACCCTAACAGCTCTATAAACCAAGACTTCTCTCCACTTCTTATATTCACTTTCTCCCTTCCCTTCCTCAATATCCTCCCATAAAAATACTGGTAAGAGGGCCTGAGGGATGTAAATCTTATGTTTCTGTTTCAGGTAGAAGCAGCAACCCATAGGACATTCCTCAGTACCTTCCACACAGAAGGCTGTCGATAGACACCTATTGAATGGTGAGTGAATAGGCACACGAATGAAAGAGAAGGGAGCACATGGAAGAGAATTTTATTCCCTGGTCTCAGAATACTCTGATGCATCTTCCAATAGCACTGGATTCTTATGCAGTTACAACCCACTTAACACTCAGATGTTCCTTGGATCATATGTGCAGTGACTCATTTTACTTTCATTTCCATCCATGGCAATCACACATGTTAACCTATTCAAATGAATACTTTCAAAACACTTAAATATTTTGGGTTTGTAGGAAGATGTTTGGAATATATTAAGCTTCTTTTCAATCTATAAATCACAAACTAAGCTTGTGAGTCTGGTTAATTTTCATGTTGCTCAGAATCTATCTCATTAACACTGTTAGAATGAAGAGACACACCCAATATTCTGATCCTCTGCCTTTTTACTCTTGAAGTGACAGCATTCTCTACCGGGTCCTGGGTAGATTAAAAGGTATGCCCTACGGGTTGCATTATCTCTAAATCATTCATGATGTATTACGCTTAGTATAAATGAGTGAGTCCCATTTGCACAATTGCCCTATTAATTTACTCATCATTGATTTACACCACTTTTGCTGAAGTTCTTCTACCAGACCCCTATTTTATATGCATTCTCACTAGCTCAGTTTTAGAATTTTTCTACCATTCAGGCCTCTCTATCTCATTGTTCTTCCATTTGTCTTCATTTATACATCTTTTATCTCCATCCTCTCCAGTTCCTCCCTCTCCTGCCTTGATCAGTTTCTTCTTGCTTCTCCATTTTCTGTCTCCTTTGGCCTTCCTCCTCTCTTACTTAAGAGCACCTAATAAATCTCCAATTAGAGGTTGGCAGTACAGAGAAAAGACACCTGTAGACTAAGAAGCACAGGCAGACCAAACCCAGGAAGACGAAAAAAATGCATAGAGCGGGTAAATGAAGTCTGAAATCTAATCTGATGACTTCAAGTATTAAATTCTTTACTAAGGGGAAACCTTTGGCAAAGCTTTTTTTTTGTTTTTTGAGACGGAGTCTTGCTCTGTCGCCCAGGCTGGAGTGCAGTGGCACGATCTGGGCTCACTGCAACCTCCGCCTCCCGGGTTCACGCCATTTTCCTGCCTCAGCCTCCTGAGTAGCTGGGACTACAGGCACCCGCCACCATGCCTGGCTAATTTTTTTTGTATTTTTAGTAGAGATGGGGTTTCACCGTGGTCTCAATATCCTGACCTCGTGATCCACTCGCCTCGGCCTCCCAAAGTGCTGGGATTACAGGCGTGAGTCACCGCGTCTGGCCTGGTAGAGCTCTTAAAATAAAGATGACAAAAATTATGCCCTTACACCACCTTGAAGAAGCCTTTAGTTTTTTTCCCCCATGCCTCATATCTTTAGAGGCTTGTTTTACTATTCAGCTAAAAAGCAAAAATTCTCTTCCTTCAGCTGTAGCCAGAATCTAATCAACACCTTTGGGGGAATATCTAAGATCAAAACACCACTGGGAATATCTAAGGGCTGAAATATAAGTATTACCACTGTGATTTCCACAGGTAAGGTTTCAAAATTCTCATTTCATAACATTTTTTGGTGAGCTAAAAAAAAATTTTTTTTTTTTTTTGAGAAGACATACGAAACTCATCTCTTGTGGGTTCGCTCTCCTTCTTCATCTTAAAGACTCATTTGATTGGCTTGTCCAAACAAAAACTACAAGTTATTTTATGCAAAAATATACATAATAAATGCACAACTGAAAATAACATTAAAGATAAATATTACTTTCCTTCTCCCTACCTCTTGTAGGTGAGAATGTTATTTTAATTTTACTTTGACATTTTTAATTCTAATATGTGAGTGGACAAAAAGAAGGTGGTCAGCAACGCTCTAAACTACTGGGAGGAGCCACTAGTTTAGTTGAATAATCTTTATTTAATTTCATTAGTCCCTATAATTTGCTAATCCATTCATTAGTATCTGACTTACTGGCTTTTGCTCAGCTGGCATTTCTGACAGGAAACACTGTATTTCTAATATTCTGACAGCATGTAAAAATATAGAAGTACACTACAAATAAATAATAATTTATCCAGAATATGAAACTCTGGGCCAAGGACCACAAGTCATTCATCTTTGTAACATCAAAGAGTGGTACAACAGTCGAAGGTGTAAGAAGAGGAGGACCCATCATAGGACCACACCCTATTCTCAACATTTCCCTAAGTTCTGACCCTGTCCATGAAACTCACCACAGTTGAAGAGATACAGAGATCCAGCGAATCTCATAAGGAGCAAAACCAGAAGAACAACAACATGTAGAACTGAGACAAAAAGTAGAAGAAATCAAGGCAACCAACATTCATAGTAAATCAAGGCAAGTTTCAACCTGGTAAAAGCAACAACTTAATTGTCTTGTAGTTTGATTCTGGAGATTAATGTAAAAAATATGATTCTTATAAGGAATACAGTGATGCTGGGAGTTTCTAATACGTTGCCTTAGAAAGAGACCCCTATGATCAAAGTTCCGTTCAGCAAAATCTTAGAAAATGGGTAGCTCATGTGTCCAATTTTGGGACTCATTTTCTTGATTTATGAAGATATTGATGTTTTTATAAGGACAAAGAGGCTGGACAACATGATCCCTATGGTAGCTTTCACTAAAATTCCATGAAAAAGATTTTGGAAATAACCTATTCTACTCTTCTAAGAAATACTACTTTAGGATCTACCACTCTTCACTTATATTCAGTAGCATATTTTAAATGTTTTAAAACATTTTAAAGACAAGTATCATTTTCTCTTTAAACACAATATTAGTATTTTAAAGGATCCTTAAAGTTTTCATTAGATTTCCTTTTAGCTTAGGTTGAAAATGTTTTTCATCAGAAATACATCTTTATATTTGTTTGGAAAATAAAATTTCTCATACTCTAGCATAATCATAGTATTTCAGAGTTGAAGGAACAGTTGAAAATACAATCCAGTTTTGTTTTATGTTTTAGAATACTTTCTGTTTTAGTTTTAAAAGTGTAGAGAGTATGGTGGTACACACGCAGGACCCTGCGACTCCAAACTCCAGCTTAAAGTAGACTCACTTAGAATCTATCCATTTATGTTTTACTGATACTCTTCCACAGGTAAACCTTTAACCCTTCAGTATCTTCCTGTTGCTCTCAGGTGACAGACTGGAACCTACACCTGGCCTTCAAGACCCTGCACAAGGTTGCCGTTCTTACCCCATTTTTACGCTGCCAATGACCTCTCTGAAGGCCTGCTTTCTGCACTCCATTCTCTGAGAACATTTTGCTCATCCTCTATTGCACCACTGAAACAAGTCCTTTCCTGTTTCAGAGTCTTTGAACGTGCTGCTTTCTCTGCCTAAAGACTTATCACTCCCACCTCTACCTGGCTAACTCTTACTCAGCCAATAGATATCAGCTCAAATGTCATGTACAAGCTAGTCTACATTCACAGCCCCTTACAACATTGCTAATAGCAACTGCCATGTCTTTCATTTAGTAATTCAAACTTTGTTTCATATAGGTCTTGCCTGCTGGGATGTAAGCATTAGGAGGGCACAGTGACCACATCTCCTGTTCATTAACATATTCCAGCATCTTACTCTATGCCTAATATACAGAAGTGGCTCAATAAATATTTGATGAATGAATACATGTGCTAATGGAGGATCCTATGGATACAAAGACATACACAAACATCAAGAGATAACTATCAATATTAAGTATCAAATAAATGTCAATGTATGACCCAGATGAAGGCTCTTAAGGAATTTGGAAGAAGATATCAGTACATGGAAGCAGCTGAAGAAGATTTCAGGGAGACAAAAAAAGACAACATGTATATGTGCTAAGATTGATGCTTACTGCATGACTTACTCTCATTAAAATAAATTGTCTCAACAATTACATTGCTCCTGATTTCCAAACATGAGAATACTGCTAGTAAATAGCAGGCCTAAGAGTCCATTTATGTCTGGGCTAACTCCAAAGACAAATGGGTTTCCACTGTACAACACTGTCCCAACTATTACAAAATAAACACTGACTAACAAAGGAGGCAGCATGAGGGCTGGGCCTTGAGGAACAAATACTGAAGGGTTTCTCAGAGCAAATGTGTTTTATAAATACCAAGTTGGAAATATACTCTACTACACAGTCATTACGGTTCCTGAAGATTACATGGTATAGGCATGCTGAATGGGAATTTACTAATTTATTCCAAATATAATTCCCATGTTGACTCAAATGTTAAGAGCTTCTGACAGCAGAGAGGCTCATAGAGAAATCACCCCATTTGCCCACTAAAAAAAAAAATCAGCATGGCTCATACTATGCAGTTTCATTGTTAACTACTTTCAAATTACAGTATCCGGTTATTTGTATCCATAAAGGCAAGCAATGAAGACATTTCAATACAACAAAAAGGAAACAATAGTAAATAAAAGCTGCACATGCAGAGGAAAGGGGCCCTTTTTTGACCTCTCTGTCAAATCCCTGCATCTCAGAAAGCAGGAAGGAGTCTAGAGTTTTTGATTTCAGTATTCCTCAGAACAATCCTGGACCTCTGGAGGGATCTTCCCTGGCTTTCTGATGCTCAGTCTTCCTTTCCAGTGCTGGAGAGTAGACCAGCTGAAAGTGGGCCAGACCCCATCTCTACATCACAGTTATTTTCTATCAGTTTCATCTTCTTTATAACGAACTTGAGAAAGTTACCTCAAAACCTCATAGGCTTCTGTGAAGCAGAATGGAAGTTCATTAAGACCTTTTGCTCTCTGACCTGCTGTGCTTTCTATTATCAAGAACCACTCTGAAAAGGCCAAAACATATGAAAAGGTGTTCAACCTCAACTACAATTTTAAAAATGCTAATAAAAACAAAAATAGATTTTTTTTTTAACCAATCAAGTAGGTAAAGATGGGGTGGGGTGGGAGATGGCTGATATCCTGTATTGGTGAACAGATGAGGAAATGGTCCCTTCCCAACACATAATAACATGAAGACAGAGCCTTTGATCCAGCAATCCAGAAATTGCTAGGAATTGATCCTAAAATGATCACTGGGTAAGTGTGACAAAAAGAAAGTACATGGCAGCCATGCCATTAAAGTGATAAACTGCAACCAATCTAAATGTCCATCAATAGGGAAATGGTTAAAAATTATGTTTTACTATACAATGATATAATATGCAGTCACTAAAAATTAAGATTATGTATTGATGTGAAACATGAAGATAAGGTATTGATGTGGAAAAATCGCCATAATTTATTGTGAACTTAATATATGACATCCAGTATTGTTATATGTACTGGTAATTTTTTGTTTTTGTTTTGCAATGATCATATAGTAAATTTTATAATGACAAAACAAAATAAAATATGATTTTGGGTGAGAGAGGTAATCCAAGATGAGAGACACCATCCAAGAAGAATTATAAATATGCAATTAGATAAACTACGGGATTGTGATATACTAGTATGATCTGATTTTGTCTTTGAAAAGTAAGATAGCTGGTTCCTAACTGACAGGATGAACCTCTTCCTTCCTTTCTTCCTTCCTCCCTCCCTCCTTTCTTTCCTTTTTTAAAAAATGATCTGACTTGAATGTCAGTCTGCCTCCTTGCACCAGACTCTTTTTTCTTTTGAAAACTCAACAAACTAGGGCTTCCAAAGGACTATTCTAAGTAGAGATTCTAAATTCATGCCATGTTAAATGAATGGTATCAAACAGATGTCAACAGCAACTTTAAAAAATAAGTAAAACCTAACTCAGTAAAATGATTCAAAATATTATAGACTATAACCAAATAGAAGTATACTTTATTCTCTTGTGGCATATGTATATATGTGTGTGTATACATACATATATACACATACCACAAAAGAACTATATGCAGTATTTCATTGATTCCAAGATATACATTTTAAAGTATATTTACATCTCTGAAATTGGAATGCATCTTAACATCAATGGCATGTCAGTTTGACATGTCAGTTTGTTAGTGTAGTTTTTTAGAGGTACATAAAATAATGTTGCATCTTGCAAGTGATGGCACTTTTAATTCAATGAAATATGGTTTTATTACCACAACAGTTCATTCTTTTAATGGTGCAGAGAAGCACAGATAAATCAGGTATTAAATGCTATTAACCCTTCCTTTCACAAAACAAAACATAAACGAAAGAAAACTATTGCTATTTTCTCCAGGTAGAGCAATTTCTCCCATTCCACCCATATGTAAGCCACTTTGCACAGAAACACTCACATTGACAATACAGGTATCTTAATATTTCGATTCAAAGCACAAGCTAATATTCTGAATGGTACAAACAGTAGCTTTTTCAGGATTCCAAATCCATCTTCTACCCTACTATAGTATATAAATGACATAAACTTCTCATCAACAGCATAAAAAATTCATATTCTGTCTATATAGAAGCTGCTATGTTAGCTTTATGTCAACAATTGGTCTGATTTTTTTAATAGCATAAATGTTTAAAGAGGTAGCAATGCCTGTAAAATATCCATGGGGATATGAAAGCTGATATACATCAGGATGGAGGCGTTTCTTGAAGAGGGAGCAATTCTCCATATTTTATCTTGCTCAGTCCGCCATTCCTTCTTCCACAAAATCCCTCCTCCTAACGGTTCATTTCACATTACTTCTATCAGCTAAATATGGCAAGTGTGCTAGCTTGCTCCTGCACTGCCAGAATAACAAATACCTTCTTCACAGGGACTGTGGTCTGAATGTTTATGTCCACTCAAAATCTACATGTTGAAATCCTAACTACCAAGGTGATGGTATTAGGAGGTGGGCCTTTAGTGGAGGTGGTTAGGTCATGAGGGTGAAGCCTTCATGAGTGAATTAGTGCCTTTAGAAAAAAGGCCCTAGGAGCTCGTGTACCCCTTCTACCATGTAAAGGACACAGCTAGAAGGTGCCATCTACAACCAGAAACTAGGCCTCACAAGACAGTGAACCTGCCAGCATCTTGATCTTGTAATTCCCAGCCTCCACAACTGTCAGAAATAAATTTCTGTTGTTTATAAGCTACCTAGTTTTTGGTATTTTGTTATAGCAGCCTGAGTGGACTAAGACAAAAACTGGTACCAAGAAGGGAGGGTACTGCTGTAACAAATAACTAAAATGTGGAAGCAGAAGTGGCTTTGGAACTGGGTGATGGGTAGAGGCTGGAAGAGTTTTGAGGTGCATGCTAGAAAAGGCCTACGATTTTACAGTCATCTTTTTTTAATAGGAAACATGTTCTGAAACAAGGCAAGCCCCACAAGGTTAACATGCCCAGGGAAGGTATGGGTACCCCAAATATTGCTCCCCAGCACACACACATTGTAATCAATGAGCATTGCTCCAAGAACTCAAAATTATCATTAAAGCTTAATCTGACTTTCTGTCTACATATCTGAAATCCTAACAATGCATGTTATGCTCTTTGATCAATCTATGCGGTTTGTTCTGGGTTTGATTTTTGTTGTTATGGGTCAGGGGGTTGGGGTGGAAGAAAGCAGCAGATAAGAGTAGACTGCTGTTCTGGCTTCCTCACTGAAACCGCACCTGAAATTACATAGTCTTTACCCTTTCACATTTGCTCTGTACTAGCTGGAGAATGACAATAGCCTTTAAGTGCTTAGCATATGTTATTTGCTTATTGATACAATATGTAGATCTGAAACATTACTCCGAATCTTCAAAGCACTAAACAAATATTAAATGTTTACAACAAGTAAGTACATTTGGTAAGTATGATAGAAAATACACACTGGATTGTAATACCCCAAACAGATCATATTTTTCTTCTCTGTATGTTAACAAATGTTTGAACCCAGGTCTTCCTTTAGGTTTTCAAATGGTTGGTCACTTTCTATTCTCTGAATGTCTTTTCTATGCTCCTGTTTCCACCCTATCACTTTAACTACAAAGAAGAAAACTTTCTACAGCACTTGCTGTCTCTTCTTCTCTTCACCAAGAGACGATCAAAGCAGGGAACCTCCACTGGGCCAAGCTGTGGAATGGGTGGGATCCCCCTAATTGCAAACTAATCTCTTTCTCTAGATATGTTTCGCTCTGTATTACAGGTAAAGCACAGATGAGGCTGGTCTGTACTGCAGGTACAGCATAGATGAGGCTGCCATTCACACAGGCCTAGGCACATCCCTATAGGATCTCAAGGTACAAATTATGGGCAGAGGGATAAAAAGCTTAACTTTAAGAGGATCTGGTCAACTCTCTCCAGTTCAGCTTTTACTTGAGTGCACCAAATTTAAGGGATTGTTGGATGTTTACCCCGATATCCATAAAGTTCATAGTTTGGATCTTTTATCATTCATTCATTCATTCATTATCACTTTCCACACACACAGAGACAGATAATAGATACAGATAAAAAAAATAAGAACGTGGATATGGGTATGGAGACATAGATACACTATTTGCCAGGTCCATGAAGGAGAGAAGTAAAATCCTAATAAATTTATTATACTTCTTTTCAAATTTTGTCAGTGTTAGACAAAAATACCTATACATTAGTGAGCAAACTTAAGAACTAGTGAGCAACAAAGAAGAAAAACCAATAGACTCTTCTTATTACATGTGTAAAATCATAACCTGGCTGTCAATATAGGTTTCCAGGCTAATAATGTGTCAATCCAAAATACCCCACTGTATTGTTGTGTCGGGGTTGGGGACGGAGTGTTTTTGTTTGGGTTCTTAACAATCAATGAACTGTTCAGACCTCCAAGTGTTTATAGTTTCTTCTTTTTCTCCATGACTGAAGCCAAAGATCCTCTAAAAAGTTTCCCTTATTTGGCCGGGCACAGTGGCTCACGCCTGTAATCCCAGCACTTTACGAGGCCGAGGCAGGTGGATCACAAGGTCAAAAGATCGAGACTAGCCTGACCAACATGGTGAAACCCTGTCTCTGCTAAAAATACAAAAAAAAAAAAAAAAAAATCAGCCGGGCATGGTGGCGGGCACCTATAATCCCAGCTACTCAGGAGGCTGAGGCATGAGAATCGCTTGAACCCGGGAGGCAGAAGTTGCAGTGAGCTGACATCGTGCCACTGCACTCCAGCCTGGGGACAGAGCGAGACTCTGTCTCGGAAAAAAAAAAAAAAAAGAAAGAAAGAAAAAAGAAAAAAAAAGTTTCCCTCACTTATTCCTAAAGCAGTGAACACTCTGGCTCATGAAGAGAGTAGAGGAGTGGGCAAATGAGGTGAGGGACAAGATGAGAGAGCTCTAGAGCTGTAACTACTATTTATTGAGCCCTTATTATGTGCAGACATTGTGAAGCAACTGATACATACTACATCATTTAATTGACCTCTCCCCATAATCTTGTGAGGCAGGAATTATTATTCTCATTTCGTAAGTAAAGAACTATGTGTTCAACTACAGTTGTAATTTGCTCAAGGTCATATAGCTAACAAGTGGAGGAGGTGGGATTCCAACCCAGGTGTGCCTCATTCTAAAGTTTGTGGTCTTTACTGCTATATTATATAACTCTTACTGTAGACAAATATATTTTTGTGAAAATAATTTTACAATGGAAGGGGGCATCAGATAGCTATAGCCAAAGATGCACTCTGGCCTACTTAATCCAAAAGACGATAGAGCTGGAACTTTTGAGGTGGCAGGCTCCTTCTGGACAAGATCATGACTTGTATAAATCTTCTCAACAGTACATCTTCTGAACCAAGGTAAACCAAAGTGCTATCACCTATCAAATGTAGTAGTTCCGTAATTTTAGTGTAGACTTGGAAAACCTTAACACACAATTACTAGAAACAAAGAATCTTTTAAATAAACTCCATTTCCTGTCACACCGAAGGCTGATTCCTTTCTGGGCAACGCTCATTTGGGCCTGATTAAATTGCTGTGATGAACTTAAGAGCTGAGACTGCCCTTGAGCCGAACATCTATCTGATCTTTAATTCTACTACCCACTCATTTCTTGCAGAGCTCACAATTCTCTTTGTCCCACTGGAGTAGCCTCGTTCGGGTTCTGCATCAATATGTTCAGTGCTGAATTCATTTCTGCAGGGAGTCCAGTACATCTGAACTTTCCAAAATCATTTGGCCCCCATTACTGGTAAGCACTGCTCTTAAATAGGTTGTAACTCCAGCTAATAGGCTCCATAATCATAGGTGAGTTGAACAAAAGGGTCCAAGAGAGAGTGCCATCAGTCATTTTTATTCCCATCAAATAAGCTGCAAAAGGCAGAAACTTTCCGATTTCAGAATATCATGGTTTCAATTTGATATTCAGTGCTTATTAGAGATGCAGGGGGAGAAGAGGAAGAGGCCCACCCAAAGGTATACAAAATCCCAAGGCCTAAATTAAATGCATTATTATAAATATAATTCACAAAGACAGAAAATAAAGCATTTTCCAATAAAATGATTTTGAGTTTTAAGAAGTCTCATCTAAACTACTGGAGGCCAAAGCACTTAAGAATCTTCCTTCCAAAGATGAACCTGACTACTTAACATTATTTAGTAGAAATGTAGAAAAAACAACTTTGTTGGCAGTTTGACATTCTCTTTTGGTCTAAGTGATAAGTAATGAGAGTACTCCATAAAATCCTAAAAGAACGACAACAACCAAACAACAGAAAACACTTTCGGGCTGATTTTCAGTATGTCTGAGAAATTCCTAAGGTTTCCTTTAATGACAATCTTACCTTTAAATTATAAACATTCAGGTATAGCTGATATTTACATTTCAATGCTTTTTAAAGTGAATCCTCATTTGTATGCATGTATGTATGCATGTACATATGTATGTATGTATGTATGTATGTATGTATGTATGTATGTATGTTTTTGAGAGACTGTCTTACTCTGTCACCCAGGCTGGAGTGCAGTGACACACTCTCACTCACTCAGCCTCCACCACCCAGGCTCAAGCCTCCCACCTCAGCCTCCCAAGTAGCTGGGACCACAGGTATGTGCCACTACACCCAGCTAATTTTTGTACTTTTCGTAGAGATGAAGTTTTACTATGTTGCCCAGGCTGGCTTCAAACTCCTGGGCTCAATCAAGCGATCCTCCTGCCTCAGCCTCCCAAAGTGCTGGGATTATAGGCGTGAGCCACTGTGCCAAGCCTAAAATGAATCCTCATTTAAAAAATACCACAAAATACATCCTACTACTATTATGTACAAACATTCACACTGAAAGGTTATTATTCTGTGCTTGCTAAGAACAAGTTGGTCTAATGTAGAATATAGCAATCTCGTATTCTTGCTTGAGGATAATGAAATAAAAGTACCCACAAACGTCTGTAATGTGCACAGGTATACCTTCTGCCCAGGAATATGTTCAGATGCACCAGATTAAAGGGAAGAATGGTTCATGTTACCAATCACCCAAAACTTCTCCAAATGCCTACTAAGCATTCCTAATACAGTACTGTCATACACACACACACACACACACACACATACATACATACACACACACACACACACACACAAATACACAAGGCAAATGAAATCTAACCTTTTTACTAAAATGGGTAACATATTCTTGACTTGATAGTTTTTTGCTCTCTTTGTAGATATTTAGGTTTCTAATAAGACTATGTTGCTACTCACATTTTGCCCTATCATTTACATAGTCTGGGCCCTGACATACACAACAACAAAAAACAGAAATCTAGAATCTGTCCTGCAGATGCTTTCCTTATCAATATCTTTTTTTCTCCTTTGCCTACTGACTTTAAGATACTTACTTTAAGATAGATTATTAGTCTATTTGTTACTCTCTATCAAAATAAAATCTCCCCCCGTAATACTATCTTCAATAAAGCACTCTTGCATGCCTCAAGCAATGATGTGACCATGCTGTCACAATGGGCACAGAAAGGGAGAGTGCAAGGGACCCTTAGAATATTTTAATACTTTAATTACCACATCTTAACATGCAGTTTCCTTGAGTACTAAGAGTCAAGATTAAAATCCAAGGTTTCCCCTCATTTGTGATCCTCTTTAAAGTCTCTGTGACAGTATTAACACTCCTGATCACTCCCTTGCCAGGTTTCTTGGGGAAAGTCCATCCTTTATCTATCATTCTCACCTTGCTGAAGGTTCCTTCTGTGTATCACCACCTTCTTCTCACTAAGGGAGAAATGCTCAAGAGGCTCTGTCTTATATTCTATCTTCACAATCTCGATCATCCAAAGGCTTCAATTAATACCTCTATAGAGGCTCTCCTAGGTCTGAAATCCAGTTGTCCACTGGACAGATCCATCCTAGGAGTCCATCAAACTCCAAATACAAACTCTTCAATGTGACCTACAAAGCTCTCAACTACTGGCCTTGACATGCCATTTCGGCCTTAATTCCCATTACAAAACCATGTATATTTCACACTGAGAACAAATGGATGGTTGTCTATTCCAAGAATGCCCTGTTGCTATCCTGCCTTGCTATCCATTTTACATCCCCTTCCCCACATCTTTCCGGATGCAATCTTAACTATCTTTTGAAGGCCAGTTACCAACGTTCTTTACTCCTCAGTCTGATAAACTCTTTTCTTTGAAACTCAAGCCTATTACTAGCCTTCTCTTATGACACATGACTCTATCTTTCCTCATAAGGATTTTTGGGGGCTTCTTAGTCAATCCATAGAATAAGAAAAGCCTGCAACTGAGAGACCTATATTAACAGGTTGCCTTAGTAAAGGAATACTTATAATATTATATGAAATGGTCACAAAATTGGGCCAGGCACAGTGGCTCACACCTGTAATCCCAGCACCTTGGCAGGCTGAGGCAGGCAGGTCACCTGAATTCAGGAGTTAGGGACCAGCCTGGCCAACATGGCAAAACCCTATCTCTACTAAAAATACAAAAATTAGTTGGGTGTGGTAGCTGGGACCTCTAATCCCAGCTACTCGGGAGGCTGAGGTGGGAGAATCACTTGAACCCGGGAGGCAGAGGTTGCAGTGAGCCGAAATCACACACACCATTGCACTCCAGCCTGGGTGACAGAGCAAGACTCCATCTCAAAAAAAAAAAAAAAGTCACAAAATTTACTTTAGAGAAAAAAAATAAAAACTACTTAAATTAGACTACATGTACTTTACGCATTTGTGCAAATAAGAAAGTTTTGTTGTATTTTATTTATTTTACAATTGATATTTTCTGAGAAATCGTTGAATATTTTATAGGCATATTCTTGAAAATACTTCATGTACACTCTTTCTTTGATTCTGAGCTATTTGTATCTCTAGTGACTATCACAAAGCACGTACTCAATGTCAGAAAAAAAGAAAACTGAAATAAGAAAGGGAAAGATGTAACATTCAAAAACATTATGAGAGCAAATCTGAAACTGAAACAGAGGAATGTCCAAATGTTAGCTACAGAGATGGAGGCAGAGGAGGACAGACATACTAATTGCCAGAAATTTTCTCAGGTAATAAAAGAATGTGTGCGTGTCTGTATTAATACGTTCTCATGCTGCTATAAAGAACTGCCCAAGACTGGGTAATTTATAAAGGAAAGAGGCTTAAGTGACTCACAGTTCTGCATGGCTGGGGAGGCCTCAGGAAACTTACGATCATGGCAGAAGGGGAAGCAAACACATCCTTTTTTACAAGGTGGCAGGAGAGAGAAGAATGAGTGCCCAGAGAAGAAAAAAGCCCCTTATAAAATGATTAGACCTTGTGAGTACTCACTATCACAAGAACAGAATGGGGGAAACTGCCCCCATGATTCAATTCTCTCCACCAGATCCCTCCCACAACACATGGGGATTATGGGAACTAAAATTTGAGATAAGACTTGGGTGGGGACAGAGCCAAATCATACCAGTGTCTGTGTATTTTATTGTGGCAAATATACAAATTTTTTTTTACCATTCTAACCATTTTTAAGTATATGGTCAGTGGCATTAAGAGTATTCACATTATTAATCATCACCAACATTCATTTGCAGAACTTTTTCATCATCCCAAAATGAAACCTTGTGCCCATGAATGGGTAACTCCCTATCCCACTGTTCTTCCCAGTTCCTGGTGACTTTTTGTCTCTGTGAGTTTGACTACTCTAGGTACCTCATAGCAGTGAAATCCCACAATATTTATCCTTTTGTGTGTAGTTTATTTCAATCAGCATAATGTTTTCAAATTACATTGATTCATTCGTATTGCAGACTGTCAGAATTATCATCCTTTTTAAGGCTAGGTAATAATGTTCCAGGCTGAGCATGGTAGCTCATGTCTGTAGTACCAGGCAGGAGGACTTCTTGAGCCCCATAGTTTGAGGCTGCAGCGAGGTGTGATTGTGCCACTGTACTTCAGCCCCAGTGACAGAATAAAATGCAACTCAAAAACAAAAGTAACAACAATATTCTGTTCTATGGATATACCACATTTTATTTATTCATTTACAAACTGATATACATGTGGACTGTTTCCACTTTTTAGCTATTATGAATAATGCTTCTATGAACATTGGAATATAAGTATCTGTCCAAGTCCCTGTTTTTAATTCCGATTATATACCCAGAAGTGTGACTGCTGAATCATATATGGTAATTATCTGTTAAATTTTTTTGAGGAACCACTATAATACTTTCCAAAAGGATACATTTTTGATCTTTGAGAACCTTAACCTTTTCAGGCCTCCATGGCATTACCTATGAAATGGAGGATGGATTAGATCAGAGATCCTTTCCGTCTCTACCATTCCGATTATAAAACTTGGAGCTTTAAACCCATTACAGACCTTAAGCTTGAGCATATCAACCTGCGCTCTCTCTCTCTTTCTCACTCACTCACTCACAACAATAACAAAAAAATTGAAGGCTGGGCACAGTGTCTTATTCCTGTAACCCCAGCCCTTTGGGAGGCTGAGGCAGGCAGATTGCTTGAGCTCAGTTCAAGACCAGCCTGGGCAATATGGCAAAACCCTGTCTCTAAAAAAATACAAAAGTTAGCTGGGCATGGTGGTGCATGCCTGAGGTCCAGGCTACTTTGGAGGCTGAGGTGGGAGGATCGCTTGAGCCAGGGAGGTTTAGACTGCAGTAGAGTCATGATTCATACTACTGCACTCTAGCCTGAGCAACAAAGCAAGACCCTGTCTCAAAACAAAAAAAGATGAGTTTCTATATAAAATAAAGAAGCCCTTTTAAGGGAAGGAAAGAGGGAGAGAAAGAAAAAAGAAGAAAAATGCTGAAGATATTAAAAGAAGAAAAGAGGGCAGAAGAAAATATCAAGAACTTAAGGCAAATATACTATAAGTAGAAGAGAGAAAAAGAAATCTGGTATTTGGGACTCACGAAGCACCCTGAGGCCCACTGTACAAAACGCAACAGCTTACAGACATCAAAAGAGAGGAAAGCAAAGCAATTCAGGTTCATGGAGAAAGATGCCCTACTATTATTCATTTATTTTCCAATTTACAGTATCATTATTTTTACTAATTTATCTGGTTCTAAAATACCCCTAAGATTTTCTAAATCTTATTCAAGTACAGACATGGAGCAATATTTTTAAAATCTTCTCTTATAAATAGCCTATCAAAGTGATACACAGTTGACCCTTGAACCACATGGGTTTTGATCCACTTACATGCAGACTTTTTTCAACCAAATGCAGATTTAAAATACAGTATTCAAAAGATGCAAAACCCACACATACAGAGGGCCGACTTTTCATACACAGGGCTCTGCAGGACCCACTGCAGGACTTGAATATATATGGGGGTGAAGGTGAGGGGGTACTGGAACCAATTCCCTCAGTATACCAAGGGGTGACTATAATTTTTAAAACTGCACGTGTCAATTAAGTGACTATACTTGATTCTTGTATTAGAGTTTACATTTTTTCTATCCCTAATGTTCATTTAAATATACAAAGATTGTAAGAAAATAGAATTCTAAGTTATAGAATGCCAGTAAAATAATAATAATAATAATAATAAAAGCTATAGGTAGTATAATACCAATACTACTTCTTTAGAAATTTTATTATGTATGTCTGAAGAAGGGGTTGGAAAAAAAATTATTGTGGTCCCAAATTACAACAAATCACAAAAAAGAGCTTTAAAATCAATCATATGTTGTATTATAAATCAGACACAGGCCAGGCACAGTGGCTGAGGCCGGCAGATTGCTTGAACCCAGGAATTCAAGACCAGCCTGGGCAACATGATGAAATCCTGTCTCTACAAAAACATATAAAATTAGCCAGGTGTTGTGGCAGGCACCTGTAGTCCCAGCTCCCTCCTGAGGTGGGAGGATTGTTTGAGCCTAGGAGGTGGAGGTTGCAGTGAGCCAAGATCGTGCCACTGCACTCCAGACTGGGAGACAGAGTGAGACCCTGTCTCAAAAAAATAAAATAAATAAATCAGACACAAAGTGCAGATACTTAGAATTCCCCTCTGAGGAAGCAGAACTCAACTCACAGAATTTTTAAAAACCAGGAAGTTTACCTTATCTGGAGGTCTTGCTATGTTTGTCTAGATTGGTCTTGAACTCCTAGGCTCAAGCAATTCTCTGTCACAGCCTTCCAAGTAGCTGGGACTACAAGTGTGCACCACCTTGCCTGGCTCTTAACTTAGTGTCTTTCTAGAGACGTTTTCTTTACCTAGGAAAAGGGTCCCATTGTCTCTGGGGCTCAGTCCTCCCTAAGAATTAAAACAAACAAACAAACAAACAAAAAAACAGCAACCATTTGCCAGAAGTACTATAGATGTATGAGAGCCGAAATCTGTTCTGTAAAACCTTCTTTTCCATGGATGCAAAATAGTTACCTGGTTTGTGAAAAAGACAGAAAAAAAAACGAGAGAACCCAATACCCCTGAGTAATTTGGCTTAGGCATTTTTAAAGTCTAAGAGACTAAACAGTAATAGGTTAGTGGTACACAGAAAAAAGATGCATTTTCAAAAGATGCCACCAAAAGAAGCGATGGGACTTCAGAGGTTCAGTATGACATACCCCATCAGGAATTACATGTCCCCTCTGATATTTTCATCTAAATGTTTATTGAACAAGCTCCTGCTTTCATCCACATTATTTTGATTAACGCATGAATAGGTTTAAAAATTACAGAAGAGAAATCTAAGGTGATTGTGCATTAAAATAAATGAAAGGATGACTCCTGGTTTACAGTCAGTATATTTCATGACTAAAATGTGTCCTATCTTTTTTTTTTTTTAATTTAACTACAACACACTTCCCTTGGTTTGGTTTTGAAGTAATGATATAAAATTCATTTTATCTCTTTTTCAAGCCTGGCTCTTTCATACATAACATCAGACTTGTCATATCTGAGGAATTATTAAAATAAGACAGAGCCTGCTATTTCTGAGCAGAAAAGCCTCTTTGAGCCGGCATCCTCAGGAGAGACGCAGGCTCAATCTCATTAGTTGGTGCTGAGACGCGTCCTAGTCTCCAGGTTCAAGGTGATGAAAGATTAGGGCGTTGGGCCTTGTCTCATTTTGTATGCAGCACACATCCCTCCCTGCCCGTGAACATGAAATTACATTGAACCTGGGGAGTCTAACTCCATTAATTTTAAATGGAAGATTAATTTAACAATATGCGGCAGATATTTGTTACAGACCTATCATGTAAAAGTGACGGTTAGCAATAAATTGTGGTGACTCATACTGGCCAGTGGCCCTGGCTCAAATAAATCAGGAGGCATTTACACATAATTGCTGTTTTTAAAGACAGGGATATGGGTGATGTGTTTCTTTGATGAAAGATTGGGCAACCCCATTCAAAGAAACAGCAGCTGATATTAAAGCCACAGTACTATTCTGCAGGGAGATGTTTTTGATTAGTATTTCTGGAATAATCATTTAGGAATAACAAATACTGCATTGATGTATAATAATCTTTTTTTATAAACCCTGTGTAATAATTCTGAGGCATGAAATTGTCATGGTATTTTTATCAATTTCCGTAATTACAATAATAATACCCCCAGAAACAACAATTCGCAAGAGACGAAGAGAGGATGAAAAGGGAGAGAGAGGTAGAAAGGTAGCACTGCTGATAAAGACAAGCAATTCTATTGATTTTCTACAAGTAATTATGATAATATATATTAATAATAATTGGTAAGACTTTGGAAGGGGCAAAAAGATACAATGGCAATTGAAGAAAAGCATTCTGAAGAAAAGAGTGTGAGATTTTCTATTTAATGCCATTTTATAAAGATTTATTAATATTTTTCTTTAAAGCAAATTCTCATCTTCTTTAAGCAACTGAAGGGAAAGAAAGGAAGACACAGAATGCCCTCATGCTTAACTGCTGTAAGGTAAGCAGTGCAGAAGAGAGGCCAAGGACATCAGATGCTCGCAACACTTGTCAGGAGAAGCCTGAACTCCGGGGTGGAACCATCTAGTGTGAGGGTCTGCCTGCCCTCTCACCGAAGAGTGAAGATGTTATTCTAATCTCCTCTCCTCTGCAAGCACGAGGCTTGCCCGCACTCAGGGGAAGGATGCTCAAGGACTTCTGTCTTCAGTCAAGCCCAATGTGATAGCAGCTTTGCTCCCATCTCTTTTAATAGATTAACATGGGGAGAGGGCAGGGTAAAGATGATATGTCTTCCCTCCATGCACCCTCTCAATGTACTCAAGGGACTGCTGGAAAGCTGATTCAAAAACCTGTCTTCAGAAGTACACCTCATTCTGCTGCACTCTATTTAGCAATGTGAGAAGCAGGAGGGGGTAGTTAGCATTTGAAACACTACTTGATATGTCCCCTGGCTCAAGTCTTGAACCCCTCTCCAAGATATTCTTCCACAGAGCCATTGCAATGAGTTAGCAAATCAGATCCGATCACTTTCCCACTGCAAATCTTTCAAAGGGTCCTGCATGCCCACAGGATTAAGTCCAAACTCCTTAGTATACTGTACAAGGGTCTTAATGCCATTCTATTGCTGCCCTCTCCACTCATCCTCTGCTTCTGAAACATAAACACTACACTCCTAAATGTTCAACTTGAAGGTCCCAGGATTGGCGTGTACTACCACACCAATTTTTCCACATACCTTTGCCCTGAATGCTCTTCTCAATCCTCCTCATCTGATAAACTCCTATTCATCCTTCAAAACCCAATACTAACTCCACACCCTCTGTGAAATAGTAGACAATACTATTTTTGTTGTTGTTGTTATTTGCTGGGACCTGCCATATTCATTTTTCCTTGGCATCAACCCAGTAAACATAACACAATAGATAATCATGTTATATTCATAATAACTGGCCTACCTTAAAGAATTTATTTCCCAAGACTACATGGAATGTTTAGGATAGAGGGGATAGGCAGAAAAAAGACATGCTAATATATTTCATGGCTCTTTAATATCATGGTGACCAATTCTGTTTTTGTTTGTTTTTTTTGAGACAAGGTCCCGCTCTGTCACCTAAGCTGGAGTACAGTGGTGCTATCATAGCCCACTGCAGCCTCAAACTCCTATGCTTAAGCGATCCTTCCACTTTGGCCTCCCAAAGCACTGGAATTATAGGAACAAGCTGCTGTGCCTGGCCTCAATTCTGTTTTTTATTTCAATTTCACACATTATAGGAGTAAAAAAGGAAGCAATAGCAAATAGTAGGGCTCAAACATTAAGAATAATATATCTACCAAGAGCCAAAGAGTTTGGTTTGCTGTTATGGGCTATGAGAGAGGTGAGATAGTAAAATGGTAACAGAGCAGAAGCAAAAGCTGTTAGCAACTGATATTTATTAATGCTTACTATGTGACTTAAAGCGTTCTAAGTGCTTTACATGTGTTAATGCATCTAATCTTCTCTAAGAACCTTGATAAGACAGGCGCTATTATCTTCATTTTGTAGGCAGGAAACTGAGGCAAAGAGAAGTCAAATAACTTGCTTAAAGTCATTCAGAAAGCAGGTGTCAGCACCAGACTTTTAACCCAGACAAGTGAGCGTCAGACTCTCTCAAAGAATCCCATGAACCAGTGGGTCCTTACATGTGGCACCCACCTGTGACAAGACCAGAACACCCCCATCCCCCAGTTCTTGGAAGGAAGGTCTGAAAAGGTAATAGGAATTGTTCAAGGCTTCTACTAAGATACTGGGAAACCTGCATGACAAAGAGAACAACAGCACAAGGGAAGAGCCAGAACTGCAGCAAGGCATCATGGCAAAAAGTAGGACTATTCCTCAAGCCTGGGTAAGGAGCGGAACACCAAGAAGCTCCTACCTGCTGTGAGGAGAAGAAGAGGATTGATAGAAACCTGAGCATCAGGCAGTGTCTGGCAATCACCGTTGTTATAGACAGTAGTCAAGATGCCACAGAGATTCAAAGCAAATCTGGGTTAAGGATGATAATTGGTTCAGAATGATATAACATTATTGAAGAACAGCTGCACAGACTCAAGCCCAGCTTCCTCAATGACCCTTTGAGAGGAGACGATTAAGGTTTTCATTCTAACATTTTCAAGTTAGGACAGGATCTTCTTCCAGGTGACGAAGTTAACACTCCTGGCTATTAATAGGTTCAGGTATTTTAAAGAAATTAGTGTTCCATATTTTTATATTCAGTATACTCTTATTTGAGCCCTAAGGTAAATGAAAGGTAAATTTCACTCCATGAGATCTGAAACACATTTTCAAGTAGCCAATTTAAAAAAACAACTAGTCCCATATAGTAATAATGATAATAATAGCAATAATAATAAACTAACCCCAAAGATAATTTCTTATGCTTCTACTATAACTTTTCTCTAAGGATTTGTAAGTTATTAGAAAACACTAATTAAACTATGTAGTTTCCCCAAAGGGGAGGCTATAATGATTTTTTTTGTTCAGATGGATGATTGAGGTAAAGAAGGGTTAAGAGACTTAAAGTCCCTTCACTGAAGCCTAAACCCAGAAACCCCATCCTACTTCTCTAGAAATACAGCTGAAATATTTATGAGTGAAACAGCATCACTATTTAATAAACAAATAATGGTCCCTATCGTGATAAAAACAAAGACTGTACTAAGCTACTTATAGAAAGGAAGTTTATTGGACTTACATAAGAAAGAGTAAATAGCCATGGGTTAAATTCCAAGAAAGAAAGATGGGCTGATATGTGGAGCATTTAAATGTAAACTGCTCACCTCCTCCCTTCCCTAGACTCCTAGTCGATTTAGTCAAAGGCACACAGTTTACTATCCAGAAGCACTAAAATGTCATCAAAGGTGTTAGAGGTGCTATATGAGGATTAAACCCTTAAGGAAAAAGAAAAAAATGCCCATGCTCTAGTCTTCAAGGAGGAGTCAGATGTATGGTGCAGAAGAGTTGGTAACGAAACACAGTATCTTCAATTCACCATTGATACTGAAGTTCCCAGCAATAGATGCCTCTAACGAGTTCATTTTTGTGCTTTAATGTTAAATTTCTTATGGGAGCACATCACCTAATTAGAGGAATTGATAACTGCACTGTTCCATAATGAGGCCAATACATTTCAAAGTCATTAAAGATAACCAAGGCAATAAGTCTGGGTTTAAGCAGCGTTTCCTCAGATTTCACAGTCTGCATGTTGCAAGTGTAGGGGGGGAAAAGCAATCCCTGCCTAGTCAACTGTAAATGCTGGGTTATTGGAATCTTTAAAACAGGCAGCAAGGAGAAAATTACATGGCCAAATCTCCTTTTTTCAGTTAATGAAGAATTAAGACTCCCATTTACCATATTAGAAGGTTCATCAGAGGTCTCAGCTCTCCATAGCTTGTGTTTGACAGCAGTGTCAGTTTATCTGAATCTGAACGTGAAAGTGCATGACAGAGGATCATTCATAACTGTCACATCTACTTATCTCTCCCATTGTCACACAGCTAACGAAATTCAGGCCATGGAGCTGTCTGCCTCTGTCCCCCTCTCAGCCCAGCTCAAAGGAAAAGGCATTCCAAAAGCCCATTCATGTCCTATTATCGTGTCAGCACATTGTGAATCTACAACAAGAGTCAGCATTGCTTCCTATAATCTCCTTGTCCTGGGTAGAAGACAAGATTTCCCTGGGACTAATGTCCATGCAGACTGCATCTGGTGTCAGCATTCAGGAGGGAAAAAAGAAACAGCTCAGAGAAATAATGCTATAGAGAAAAGTTTTTTGAATACATAATTTGATACTTCAGGAAAAAAAAAAAAAGAAACATTTAGAGTTTATCTTTGACTGGTAATGAGGAAATGCCATTTCCATGCACTAAACAGCGATAAATGTGAGAGGATTTCATAATGCAATTTGCTACAGCATACAGATATTTAAACTGAAAGAGAACAGGAAAGCTGATATAGGGATGTCTATAACCAAACCAATCAGAAGATTTTGAGGACAATGTAGCACAAAAAGCAGATATGATTTGATTTGCAAATATCACTGAAGGGGCTTATCCACACAGAAGAAAGTTCCATTATTGCGCTGTCACCAACAATAGAATTGAGAGTTACTATGAAGAAACACACCCATTTTCAGACAAGGAGGCAATCTGCAACTGGCAAATGGGCCATGGCCCAAAGCGGGTAACACAACATGGAAGTGCAGATTTGTTTCTGCATCTCAGGCTCTCGTTAAGTCAAAGGAAAAAAAATACCAAACATTATTTATGATAAATTCACACTAGGAAAGCTCTCCTTTGATATTTCTGAAATTCAGAAAATGGCACTGATTTCAGTAATGACTCAGAGAGGGTTTTTTTTAAACAGCTTTATTGAGGTATAATTGCATACCATAAAATACACCCACATTTTAAGAGTACAGTTTGATGAGTTTTTATAAATTTATACAGTTGTGCAACCATCACTCTAATCTAGATTGATAACACTTCCATCACCCTCAAAAAAGTTCCCTCATGTCAATTTGCCATCAGACCCCACTGGATTAATTTTTTTAAATGTTCTTTTATGCAACATAAAATGTATCATTTTAACCATTTTAAACTGTACATTTCACAGGGTTTTCAGTAGTTTTCAAGGTTGTGCAACCCCACCACTGTCTGATTCCAGAACATTTCATCACCCCCAAAGGAAAACCCTATACCCATTAAGCAATCACTCCCCATTTCAGCCACTGGCAATGGATTTACCTATTTTAGATATTTCATATCTAAATGTACTCATACAATCAGTATGTGCCGTTTGGTGTCTGGCTTCTTTCACTTAGCATAATGTTTCCAAGGTTCAGCCATGCTGTAGCACGTGTGGTACTCCATTCTTTCTTATGGCTACATAATATTCTACTTTATGGATACACCACATTTTGTTTATCCACTTATTAGTTTATGAACATTTGGGTTGTTTTCACTTTTTAGCTATTATGAATGATGGTACTATAAACATTCTGTACAAGGTTTTGTAGAAACATGTATTTTCTTTTGGGTATATAGCTAGGAGTAGAATGTCCAGGTTGCCTCATACAGCTTTGCAGGTTGTACACTGCACAACCCAACACACAACATCCACACTGTAGTCACAAACTGCATAATTTTCACAACAATCTCAGTTTATTTGGGCCTTACTGAGAAATAAACTGATTTATTCTACTTACTTCAAAGTCAGAGTTAATTGTCATAATAGAATTGAATTGCCCTTGATGGCAGTTTTTCCTAAATGAACCACATTTAAGTTATAAAAAATTAGACTTGTCAACTGGCTGTCAGTGTTCAGGCCTAAATAAGACCATAATATAATGTTTTCAATGTTGGTCAATATTCACTGTCCCAATCAGTCAAGAATTAATATTTCTGCTTATGGACCACCTGCCCTCATTCCCCTCCTTCCACCTGCTGGTAACCTGCAGTTTATACATTCTCCTCAACAGTCCTACTATAGATTGCAAAGAATTAATGAAACAAACAAACAAAGAATGACATCCCATTTGGCTTCTCACTGGGAGAACTGATCTATAAAGATGAGAATAAGGGACTGAAGCAGAGAGATAACTTTTTTTCTCACCTCCCAGTGATTATCTTTCCAATGCTCCCCTAATTCCTTATTATATTACTCATTTTTATTAAGCAAATAGCCAGTTAGAAAATACGTTCATTTATCACATTAAAAAAAAGACAAACTGCATACTTAATTCACAAGAAACTAGCCAGCAACAGTTGCTCTCATGGAGATAAAGGATTTACAACGGGGACAGCCTCACCACCATCTTTTGCCAACTGTGGCTGTCTACAAAACTATCATGTACTCCAGTCTCCCCATTCTTCTAAGTCATTGCTTCACCTATAAGAATTAGCAGCGAGGCTGATTATAAAATTTTTTTCAATCCTTGTGTTTGTAGATATAAACACTGGAAGTCTTATTTTTTTCTCAGATTAAAGCAATAAATGCTGTTTTTAAGAGAAACAAATCATTAATCCTAAGGAATTAGATACATTTGAGGAATATAAAATAAACTGAAGGGGAATGCCTTGAACTCTAATGTTTGGTATGAATCCAGAGACCACATCTTATCAGAGTATTGAGATAACTTTACCTTCAACTTATTGCTGCTTCTTAGAAGTACACAATCAAACTTATAAAAGAGAGGGTCTAAGTGTCTAACCATCCTTTACACTTTTTCTAAAAATTTTGCTGTTCTTTCTTCATCCCTGTTACTGATATTTGCAATGCAGAGACCTGTGTCTACCTTCTGATGCTTCATTCTCTATGTAGCCATCTTCTGACATCTGCACACATTCCCCTAAAACTATCCATTCTTCAAGGAAAAAAAGGAAACATTCTCTCATGTTACTCACCGTACTCCAACTACAGACCCTCTACTTCTGTGGTAGGGCTTTAAAACTAGTCCCATAGCCAAAAAATTAATACAAAGAAACAGATTGAAAACCTAGATAATCCCAGTGAAAAGGACAATAACAGCACATGTAAGTAAAGACCCATAATAAAAAACCACTTACTAAATAATGCAAACATTTGGCTGGGTGCAGTGGCTCATGCCTGTAATCCCAGCATTTTGGGAGGCTGAGGCAGGCAGATCACGAGGTCAAGAGATCAAGACCATCCTGGCCAACATGGTGAAACCCTCTCTCTACTAAAAATACAACAACTAGCTGGGTGTAGTGGTGCATGCCTGTAGTCACAGCTACTCGGGAGGCTGAGGCAGGAGGATCGCTTGAACCCAGGAGGTGAAGGTTGCAGTGAGCCAAGATCGTGCCACTGTACTGCAGTCTGGCAACAGAACAAGACTCCATCTCAAAAACAAACAAACAAACAAAAAGAATGCTAACATTCGCAAGTGGATCAGAGGTTCAAACAGAAAGAGGAAACGTCTCTAGGAAGAATTGTTTGTCACAACATTTTATGAACGCTTCCACTCTTCCAACATAATAGAATTGAGAAGAAGAGAAAGGAGCATTGCCAATTGGATCAAATTACTAGTGGAACAATGCAAGTAAACGTGTCTTTATTTCTACACAGTTTTGAAAACTTCAAGACAAAAATAAATTACATGACCCCCCGGTAACTTCCACTAGAACTTATAGGAACAAATTGTTTGCCTCAAGCTGGGTGGAACATACATTCAAATTCAGGCTCTTGAAGGAAATTATTAAGTAGAGTCATATTAGCTTTCTCTGAAGCATACTCGTTTTCAGTATTGCCACTGTATAGACCAATTATGATACCTTTCCATGCTGAGAAATGATTGTTCTGCTAACACAGTTCTGGGAAGAATCAAAAGCACTACATTTTTAACCTTGGGGGATTTTTGTTATTGTTGCTCCCTTGCCAGTTCCTTCACATGGAAAACATCTTCCATTAATCTAAATGCAAAATTTGTTTCGGCTTTCCAAAGTCACTTGAAAAATGTGAAGCACAAAGTAATAAAGTTTTTATGCTCTTAAGACCACTAATGCTTTGAGCTTCATATTCATTTTGAAGAAATGAACATTTTATGGTTCACAGAGGAATAGCTACATGAATAATATCTGAGATTATAATGCATCTAGCAGAAAAAGATTAAGTTTATGTAAACTATTTAATCAGACGTGAAATTTTCTCTAGAGGATAAAAATTCTGACCTATTTAAGTTTACTTTAAAAATACCAATATCATGTTTCTACCAAGGGAACCCACCAATTTTCCCATTTATGTAATATAAATATTCATTAGAGACAAAACTTAACGTAAGATGTACTACACTGACCCAAGGATGTTATATTGGATATCCCTATATTAAACAGAGATTAGATGAAAAGAATTCTAGTTTGCTACTTGGTCCAAATACTCAGTTAACCTTTAACTGATAGACAATCGTTTTAGGAGACTGCCACTGCTGAAGGCACTAAGCTGTTCCACAACTATTGGAAGAATATAGCTGAGTATCACGCAAAAAAAAAAAATCCTTCTACTTTTATTAAATATATTTCCTAGTAACATTTATGCAAATACACAGGGCAAAAAATAAAACTAATAAAATTTACTGAAGTTTATGTATATTTGTCAAATTAATTTATTTGGAAGTTTCCAAATTTGATAAATCTGATAAATGGCCTATGACTGTATTTCATGTCCATAAATATCACAGTGGGCCCCAAGGGTCCCATATCCAGGCCCTTGGTGACCCAGAATTGTCCTCATTATAAATATAAGGGCTAACATCATGACTCTACTGTGGCCACTTATTAAAGAGAAGCCTGTTTGGAATCATCATCACAGGTATTGTAATACAAAAACATTTGGTTTTAATTCAAGAGATCACTTGTCATAATTCTATTTTTTACATTTTTTGGCAATGGAGACCTAAATCCGGAGATTTCAGAAATGACAGTTATAAATTGTATTGCTACCATTCATAAAACATATGCAGCTTAAAATTAGTTTCTAAATATTTGATATCTTTTTGAAGATTCAGCCATACTTCATATAAGTTTTAACAGTTCCTCTTCTTTACTTTGATATATAAAACAAGGTTAAGATGAGGAGAAAACAAGAAAATCAATTTCACAGTAACAACTAAGATGTCAGGTCTTTAAAAGGCGGAGGGGGGTGGATCACTTGACGTCAGGAGTTTGAGACAAGCCTTTCTAACATGGTGAAACCTCGTCTCTAGTAAAAATACAAAAATTGGTTGGGTGTGGTGGCAGGTGCCTGTAATCCCAGCTACTCCGGAGACTGAGGCAGGAGAATTGCTTGAACCCAGGAGGCAGAGGTTGCAGTGAGCCAAGATCGCACCACTGCACTCCAGCCTGGGTGACAGAGCGAGACTCCATCTCAGAACAACAACAACAAAAAGAAACATACATTTAAAAAACTAAAATTAAAATTAAAATGTAATTATTAAAGACAATAGCCATAGAATGCTAATACCTGCTTTTAAAGTTTACAGATAATTAAATAACTTTTTGTAATATATCGCTTAGTAAAATATTTTAAATCAAATTACTACATCTTAAAATGCTTTAATTATGCCTGCTGTGCTCTTTTTAGTACGAAATTAATAGCATGAAAATCAAATTTTGTCTTTTAGTGAAAAAACAGTTGAAAACAAAAATGGTGATAGAAAAAACTATAAGCCAAATAGACAATATAAAGACATGAATCTAGAGAACAAAATGGCAGTCATAGACATTCATGATCAAAGAGGCGCTCCTGAGGCCAGGGGTCTGCTTTCCTACTCCCTATAGTGTATTATCTGAATTCAAAATTCACTTATTCAAGTCCTTCAAATAACAGTAAAGATAACAACTGTAGGGAGGAGAAAATAGGAACAAATGAGATTCGAAATTTTATTAAGTCAATTAACTTGAGTCCAGCTGAGTCCATTAGGGAAACTGATATTTAAATCTGATTTCAATATGTTCATATAAATGTTTTGATCAGGATATACATGAGAGAGAGAGAAGGAATACCTAATATTTCTCTGGACCCTGTTTATGTGGCAAAAGTGGGATTACAACAAATATATTTTTAAAATCAACTTCATTATACTTGAGGTATAATACACATAAAAGAAAAAATGTACCCACTTGAAGTATACAGTTTGATGAGTTTGGACAAATATGTCTGTATCTATATAACTGCCACCACAATCAAGAAACAACATTTCCATCACCCACAATGTTCCCTCATGCAACTCTGTAGCCAGTGTTCCCACCCCTGCACCCAGGTGAACATGGAACTACTTTTTGTTACTACAGATAAGTTTTGTTGGTTCTAGAATTTAACACAAGTGGAATTATTAAGTATGTACCTTTTTGTGTGTGCCTTCTCTTACTTAGCACAATGTTTCTGAAATTCATCCATGTTGTTAGGAATATCAGTTTGATTCTTTTTTGTGCTTAGAAATAACCATTATCTCTATATGCTGTAATTTTCACCTAGTAATGTATACTGCTTCTTTCCAGTTTTTGGCTATTACAAAAAGTGTACAGGTTGGCCGGGCGCGGTGGCTCACACCTGTAATCCCAGCACTTTGGGAGCCCGAGGCGGGTGGATCACAAGGTTAGGGGATCGAGACCATCCTGGCCAACATGGTGAAACCTGTCTCTACTAAAAATACAAAAATTAGCCAGCTGTGGTGGCACGTGCCTGTAGTCCCAGCTACTCAGGAGGCTGAGGCAGTAGAATCGCTTGAACCCGGGAGGCGGAGGTTGCAGTGAGCCGAGATTGCACCACTGCACTCTAGCCAGGGCGACAGAGTGAGACTCTGTCTTAAAAAAAAAAAAAGTGTAAAAAGGGTACAGGTCTTTGTGTAAGCATATAGTTCCATTTCTCTTGGGTAAATACCTAGGAGTGGGACTGCTGCACTATATATATGCTATCGTTTAAATGCCCCCTCCAAAACTCGTGTTGAAACTTAATCTCCAATGCAGCAATATTGAGAGACAGGTAGCTTTATAAGAAAAGGAAGAGAACTGAGCTAGCATGTTAGCATGCTCACCCCCTCACCATGTGACACCCTGTGCTGCCTTGGAGCTGTTCAGAAAGTCCCCACCACCAAGAAGCCTCTCACCAGATGCAGCCCCAGCCCCTCTACCTTAGACTTTTCAGCCTCCATAACTGCAGAAATAAATTCCCATTCTTTATAAACTATCTAGTATTTTTTCTTTTTTTTTGAGATGGAGTCTTGCTCTGTCACCCAGGCAGGAGTACAGTGGCGTGATCTCAGCTCACTGCAAGCTCCACCTCCTGGGTTCACATAATTCTCCTGTCTCAGCCTCCCGAGTAGCTGGGACCACAGGTGCGCAACACCACGCCTGGCTAATTTTTTTGTATTTTTAGTAGAGACAGGGTTTCACCATATTGGCCAGGATGGTCTTGATCTCCTGACCTCATGATCCGCCTGCTGCAGCCTCCCAAAGTGCTGGGATTACAGGTGTGAGCCACCGCGCCTGGCCATAAATTATCTAGTTTTAGGTATTCTGTTATAAGTAACAGAAAATGTACTAAGGCAATAAATAAGAAGCTTTATTAGAAAATATTTTAAAACTTCGTAAGAAAATGGCAAATTAAAACAAACCTCTTGATTCACAGTTTTAACCACAGTTTTCATTATGCTCTTGGGACCTCTTTCTTCTCCACAGATCCACACTTAAAATATATTTATTCTGACTTCACTCAAACTTTTTGGCTCCTATCTACCCCACTAATGTGAGGCCAAGATACAAATGAGTCAACAGCTTTGAGAGATCCAAGCAAGAGTTCCAAATGATCTGATTCAAACTGGAGTAATGTCAACACTTAGCACTTAACAGAAAAGTCCTCTACAAGCTCTTAGCAGACACTATTCTTTTCAGCCCATCCCTGGTAGGAAGTGGTCAAGAACAAGGTGGCATATGCCAAGGGTGACTGGCACCAGATTTGACTCATTCTGTCAAAGGCTTTGGCATAAGCACCGTGGCCCTGGCATGGGCATCAACAGGCAAAGAATCTGGCAAAACCATCAACAGGGGAAGGAATTAGGCTTGGTGAGGACAGAATGCACAGAGGCCCTTCTCAATGGGCATGCCAGGTCCTTGACATGATGATGAGTGAGGCCAATGGCATGAACTGATTGTCAGTTTAGCTGCACTCCTCTTTTTGATGAGGTGGAACATATCAATGATCAAGTTTAAGAACTGAAAAGGCTTTTTAAAATGGAAAAACCTCTTTTTACAAAAAAAGAAGGAAAAAAAAAAAAGCCAAGCTCTAGATTTTTGTATGAAATGAAAGAAAGGGGTTAGGGAGGTCTCAGAGGTCATACCTGTCAGGAAGTAAGGTATTTGGTACCAGAAGGAAGGCTCTGTGACAGCTGCAGAATGCATACCATGCTCGCATCGTGGACAGAATATAAATGTTGCCTTCATTGTCCACTCAAAGATATGCATATCTGGAAACTGTCATTACTGAGAGTTTTAATATTTTTCCACACCACTTGCTTGAAAGGAAAGGCATCAGAGGTCAAAGTGAGTTCCTGAAGGGCACCACATAATTCATGAGACAACCGAACCCTCCCAGACTCTGGAGGGCCCGATGCTGGGTGCTGTTCTGTGCTACTCCTGCATGGAGGTATGGGATGAAGGTTCCTTTTGGGGCTGCCTTGCCAAACAGAAAGCCAGCTTCACAGATTATTGGGAAAAGAGTCAGTAATCAATACAAAACGTATTCAAAATGTCATCAAGCTTGTTAGAGTCCCTCTGTCTTAGATTCCACAAGGGTTTCTAGTCACTTTTGAAGTTTACCTTGTCCACTATCATTAAATATTTGTTGTCACATGCTTGACTAGGTCCTGAAAATTTCTTAGAGCCAAAAAAACAAATGCCATTTTCACAGCAGCCTCATACGACTTAAGGTAGCCTACATCTTGGTCTCTCAGGGTAGTAAGATAGTCCTTAGATAAATGTTCCAAAAATGAAACCCTGTGAAGGTGGCCCAATGAGTCCCTTGCCTCACACATGGACAAGGATCTAGTGCATTCTTCAGCAAGCTGGATAACTTTCTAAAAATGTTCAAAGAAGAAAATGATAGGGTCATGATCAGCACAATTCATTTCTAACTCAGAAATGTGCTTCTACTCCCGAGCAACAGCTGAACCAACACTGTTCACAGAAAACAGACTGAATTATGAAAATTGCGTGAAAATGAAGCTCTTTGATGACATTTGCTACTGTCCTACTTAGTATTCCTTCTCCATCTTTCCCCTATGAACACAGTTCCTCTTAGATGCCCTTTCTTGACCTCTACAGTTGTTACTGCTCAACATAACTACAGTCTCAACATTGTCAAACCATTTCACAGTGACACCATGTCTCAGGCAATGTTAGGCCATTGCCAACAAGTAGCGAGTAACCTGTGCTGACAACACATTACAGCCCTGCCATAAACAATCATCGTCTCGCTGAAGCAAAATGGCAGTCAAATTAGAGCAGAATATGTAACAACATGCATAGTAAATTGGCACAGCAGCTTGCTAAACAAAAACAGGGCAGCAGTCACACACAAGATGCAGAGCCACAACTGTGCCACATTGTCCATGCTCATGTCGGCCAGGAGTTGGACCAGAGCCCACCTATGCCAACAGAGAATCCCTGTCGGGGATGAGTGGGAAACCTCTGCCCACTTTTGTGTTGTCAGCCTACCTCAATTCTATACTCACACACTGAACAGGATGTATGAAAATGATGTCAGATCCTTGGATCTACCCATAAGGAGTAGTAGTAGCCTCAGAATAAAATAGGATAGGCAGGCTGGGCATGATGGCTCACTCCTGTAATCCCAGCACTTTGAGAGGCCAAGGTGGGAGGATCGCTCAGGCCCAGAAGTTTGAGACCAGCCTGGGTAACACAGTGAGGCCCCGTCTCTACAAAAAAAAAAAAAAAACTTCAGGCCAGGCACAGTGGCTCACACCTGTAATCCCAGCACTTTGGCAGGTCGAGGCGGTCGGCTCACTTGAGGTCAGGAGTTCAAGACCAGCCTGGCCAACATGCCGAAATCTCTTCTCTACTTAAAATACAAAAATTAGCTCGGCATGGTAGCATGTGCCTGTAATCCCAGCTACTAAGAAGGCTTAGGTGGGAAAATGGCTTGAACCCGGGAGGCGGAGATTGCAGTGAGCCGAGATTGTGCCACTGCACTCCAGCCAGGGGGACAGAGCAAGACTCTGTCTCAAAACAACAACAAAAACAAAATTCAAAATGAACTGGGTGTGGTGGCGTGTGCCTGTAGTCCCAGCTACTTGAGAGGCTGAAGTGGCAGGATCTCTTGAGTCCAGGAGGTCGAGGTTGCAATGAGTTATGATTATGCCACTGATCTCCAGCCTGGGTAATAGAGTGAGACCCCAATTCTTAAAAGAAAAACAAAAACTAAAAAACAGAATAGGCATGCAGAAGGAAGGCCCAGCCACACAATTAGACCTGTAAGGAAGGCCCGGACCATCATGTAAGGACTATGCTTAAAAAACAATGAAGAGCAAGGCAGAAGCCAGGCATCTAATTTTCTTAGAAGATCAGGAAAGGACTACCCATTATAGCTGGGGCACAATATGAGATGTGCTGGATTCACTGAACAAAATAAAAAGTTCAGGGACCACACTGAAAGTTGACTGTGAAGGCAATTCTCCTTCCCTTAGCTCTACACCAGACTGAGAGCTGAGGTGGGATAAAGACACTAGAGTACTTTCTATCTCTGTCCATGATGAATCTGAAAGCTATAATAAGAAAAGCATGGCAAAACACACAGGAAAGAAGATAAATGAACCCAACTGGCAGAAAAACAAAAGCAGAAGGCAGAAAGGGACCAAAGGCATAAAGGGCAAGTTGTCCCTAAAAATGCGAGCCCTAAGATCACAGTAAGTACAAAGCTGTGGTCAGCCACGGTGATGTGTTTTCTGAACGCAAGCAGATAATACCAACTTGCAGGACTCTGGGGCAGCCCTGACAGACAACTGTCATATTTCATTCTGAGACTGCTTCCTCGTACAGAACAGATGCAATAGGTTTAGCAGGTCCTTGGCAGCTTGGAAGCCATTTGTAACTATGGACCATGGGATGAAATCAACCTTCAGCCACTATAAGCCTTCTTTTCAGGACTGGGGCATGAAGTGGGCGACACCACCATTGCTGCCTGTTATGACCCTCTGTTCTCTTGGCCCACTGTGCAACATTTACACACATCCCTTTAGAGGAAACTGAAGAAGAAGAAGCCCTAGTTTATTAACCCAACACACTGCAAATCTAATTAAAAGTCAAATACACAATACTCTCTTCAAAATCCAAATGCTCTTTACAGAAACATCAAGGAGGAAGGGAGCAGAGCGGAATGGCCCCATGAAGGTAATCAGGATTCATCTTCAGGGACTCGTACTAGATTACTCGCAGCTCATTATCAGTGCTCTGTGTAGTAGGAGAACACCTAGAGACCACATCATTAGCGTCCTACACATTCATTATGCCACAAATGGAAACACCATAACAAAGCAGCCCTGGTGTTCAGGGAAAGATAAGATTTCACTCCCTAGTTCCAGTACACTTAAGTCTATTAAAGTTTTCAGCAATAACGTTGTTAAACAAAGGGAAAAGTTATAGGCTGGTTCTTTCCACATCAAACCATAACCCAATGATTAATAAATCTAGGCCTTACTCTGTTTTAGTGCATATAATTAAAAACCTTAGAAAATGGTTTGTTCTTACATTTTTAGTTTTAACAACACAAGGTCAATAGTGCTTTTGATAGACATGATTTAGTATCCAACAAAAGTTCTATCTCTTTCTATAAGCTGGCTGAAATGATGAATAAAACCCACCAAAACAAAGCAAACATAACAACAAAGAAAAAAAAAAGTCATATTCTACAATGTGAGCTTTTGAAGGATATTACTATGAAACCGTCTCTGGAAAGAAAAGTTCTTCCCATATAAGCTGAAGTTATAAAATACATCTGAGAGCAGTCCTTGCTTGCCAAAAGAGTGCAAACTCAGTTATTTGTGGGGCTCTGGTTTGGAATGCAAATGTCAAAAGGAACACCACAGAAAAAGTGGAAAACAGAAAGATAACTTATTTCATCATTATTTTTTTTTGCAATTAGTATCTCCCTATTTGCCTTTTAAAGACCACCTTTTTAAAGGTAATTTCGTGGCTGGGCGTGGTGGCTCACGCCTATAATCCCGGCACTTTGGGAGGCTGAGGCGGGCGGATAACGAGGTCAGGAGTTCGAGACCAGCCTGACCAACATGGTGAAACCCTGTCTCTACTAAAAATACAAAAATTAGCCAGGCGTGGTGGCACATCCCTGTAATCCCCACTACTCGGGAGGCTGAGGCAGGAGAATCCCCTGAACCCAGGAGGCATAGGTTGCAGTGAGCCAAGATCATACCATTGTACTCCAGCCTGGGCGACAGAGTGAGACTCCGTCAAAAAAAAAAAAAAAAAAAGGTAATTTTGAGGTCCAGAACAACCCCTGTATTCCATACCTGGATTTCTGAAGGTGGGTGAAAGGAACCAGCTTCCCCCACTGAGCCCTACTCACCCAATCTTCTCTCTCACTTATGATGAGGATTGTTATGTTAGAAGGGAAAGGGTCAAGACCTTTTCAACTGAAATACCACTAACCAGTTTTAGGATTTAAAACACATACATCCTGAGATAGTCTAGTAGGCAAAAATAAAATTATCCTATTATGTTGCTTTGCTATCTTCCCATTTCTTTCAACAGATACAGAAGAACCATCTGTTCTAGACTGTGAGAATACTCTGCTACATAAGATATTACAAATATAACATTTGTGAAATTTGCTCTTAAGGAGATTACAAACTACAAAAGGAGCTCATAACAAGTCAAAAGAGAAGGGTAAAGGAAAGTTTTATAGAAACAGTAGCTTTTGAAGCATTTGCCCGAAAAAGGAATGGTGACATTGGAACATGTACAAACGGACAGTGTTTGGGATAGCAAGCAGTGAGAGCAAGTCATAGAAGCAGAAAAACAAATGAGTGCTTAGTAAGAACATTAAGTGATTAAATTTGGTTGCATCAGCAGTTCTCCAACCTGATCAGGTTACAGAGCACCTGGAATTCATGATGGTCTTTGTAGGTATTTGTAGAACCTTATGGAATAATGAAATACTAATTCCACTTAAGAAGGGTTGGAATAATATAATCTATGTTTGAAAGCATGAGTGAAGACTGGAATGAAAGAAGTAAATTACATTAATGATTATACTTTATATTTTATTGAAAAAAGACATAATTACTTGATTTTTAGAGTAGAATATTTTGTTCCAGGTTGCAGAGTGTCCGTGTTTGGCAGGATCATGGCTATTTCCAGCCTTATGCCATGGGAGATTAGGTACTAAGACTGATACTTCCACTGAAAACGATTTAAAAACTAAACAGAATGAAGTTTAAAATATTATTCTAATCTACATCCATGAGCTAGACAGAAAGTAAGCAATACTCAGGTCAAAAATAAAGCAAAGAGAAGAAAAAAAATTTAGTTTTTGTTTCCTCTTATGAATATTTCCCAAACTAGTTAGAACTTCAGCTTTGGCTTCAAGTCTTCACAAATCCAGGGATCAAGAGCATAGCACATGGCCCCCACCCCAGGTAAGACATCTAGTAGAAGATCCCAACAGAGCTATACACAAAAGACCTACTACACATTCAGTGCTAGATGAACTAAAAATAAACTACCCTCTCCCTCAAGTAAATTGCAATGAAAATTTCTCATCTCAAATAGTATTGCCGGCAGAAAAAAAAAATCTCTTCTGATAATGCATAATGACAAGCTGACTCTCATAGAGTTTTAAAGCCTTAATTTACATAAAATGGTCTGAAAAGAAAAACCTCACCCTGAGAATATAAGATGGTCTCACACAGGTAGTTTCACTAGAGGCATGAAATAATCAAATATCTGGTAAAAACCACCTTCTCCCAGGTGTCAAAGAATTCCTAAAAATTCCAGGAAAAACAAGCAATACTCACACAAAGTTCTCAGGGAAATAAGCAATTCACAGTAAAAATTACCAAACAAGTAAGGAAAGGCAAAAGGATGAGTGAAAGCTGGCAGATAACAACAATCAGATACATAAATCATTGGAAATGCTTCAGACATTGAAATTTCAGACACGCTAAGTATATGTAATGTCTCAAGAAGAATAACAGTCTCAAAAAAAATCAACACCACCTAGTATGTACTAACAGAGTTAAAGATTTTAAATAAAGAATCAACAGTTTTGAATTCAAAAAATTTCTTTTTTCCATTCCAGGACTAAGGCAGAGTAGATACAAAATGACATCTTGTTATGCCATAACATAAACAACTGCTCAAATCAATGACATGAGCACATCACTAGGTTACAGGAGCCATTTTAGATGTGGACACCACTGGCCAAATATGAAATGAGTACTAAAATTATTTAGTAATGAATTCAAGACTGCTTAGGAAAATAGGAATTCATAAATTGACTACATAAAGAAAAAATGAAAAAGAAACATCACGTTACCTAGACTTCAAGATCTATCACAAAGCTACAGTGATCATAAAGGTATGGTACTGGCAGAAAGACAAATTACCAATGAAACAGGATAGAGAACACAGACATAAACCCACACACTTTTGGTTAGCTGATTTTCTACAAAGATGCCAATAGCACACAATGGAGAAAAGATAGTCTCTTTAATAACTGGTATTGGGAAAATTGGATATCCACAAGCAGAACAATGAAACTGGATGCTTACTTCACACCTTTTACAAAAATAAACTCAAAATGGACTGAAAACTTAAATGTAAGATCTGAAACTGTAAAACTACTGGAAAAAAACATAGGAAAACGTTCCACAACATTGGTCTAGGAAAAGATTTCTTGAATATGACTACAAAAGCAAAAATTAACAAGTGGGATTGTATCAAACTAAAAATCTTCTTCATGGCAAAAAAAAGCGATTAGCAGAGTTAAGAAATAGCTTGCAGATTGGGAGAAAATATTTGCAAACCATATATTTAATATGGGGTTAATATCCAAAATATATAAGGAACTCAAATAACTCAATAGCAATAAAACAAATAACCCAGTCAAAAAATGGGCAAAGGGCCTAAATAGATACTTCTCCAAAGAAGGCATACAAATGGCCATCAGACATATGAAAAAATGCTCATCATCACTGATCAACAGGGAAATTAAAGTTAAAGCCACAATGAGATATCAAAAGGATGAAAGGTAAGGGTTGGCAGTGGTGTGGAGAAATGAGAACCCTTGTGCATTGTTCATGGGAATGTAACTTAATACAGCCATGAAGGAAAACAGTATGAAAGTTCCTCAGAAAATTAAAAATAGAATTACATTATCATCCAGTAGTCTTACTTCTGATATAAATTCAAAGAAACTGAAATCAGTATGCCAAAGAGGTAGCTATATTCTCATGTTCGTTGCAGCAATATTCACAGTTGATAACTATACTGTAATCAGGTAAGAGAATATGCCTATTAAGAAATATATAACCTAAATTATTTAGTGAAAAAGGTCATAATGTATGAAATTTATCTTTAAATGGTCAGAAAAAAATATATCCGAGAGAGAAAAAACAAATTATAAATCAAATGGAGTGAAATAAGAATCAGAGGCTCTAGGTAAAGGGTATATGGTATTATTCACACAGTTTCTGACCTTACAATGATTTTCAAATTTGAAATCACTTCCAAATAAAAAGTTAAATTTAAAAAAATTATAAAAACAAAAACTATATTAATCAAAATTGAAAATCTCAGTAATCAGAATTAACAATAGATTAGGTACTGGTGAAGAGCCAACAAGCAAACTGGAAGCTAAAATAAAACATCATCTGGAATGTAGTACAGAAATTATGACAGTCAAGGAAGAGACAGTGAGAAAGAAGGTCTAACAAACATATAATCTTAGTTCCCAGAGAAGAGGAAGGGAAAGAGAGAATGAGGAGTTGGCAATACTTGAAAAGAAACTGAATAGACAATTTTCCAAAACTGATGAAAAATATCAATCCAAAGATACAAGAAGACAAGAAATCCTTAAATTTAACTGATAAAAGTGGTCACCCCGGGGGAAGAGTACATTTAGAGAAGAGGTGAGGGAACTTTTTACTTAATTTACTTGTATTTGTTGAAATATTTTATATTGGCCGGGTGTGGTGGTTCACGCCTGTAATCCCAGCACTTTGGAGGCCGAAGTGGGCAAATCATGAGGTCAGGAGTTCAAGACCAGCCTGGCCAACATGGTGAAACACTCTCTTTACTAAAAATACAAAAAATTAGCTGTGTGTAGTGGCAGGCGCCTGTAATCCCAGCTACTTGGGAGGCCGAGGCAGGAGAACTGTATGAACCTGGGAGGCAGAGGTTGCAGTGAGCCAAGATTGTGCCAGTGCACTCCAGCCCAAGCGACAGAGTGAGACTCCGTCTCAACAAAAAAAAAAAGAAATATTTTATAACTGGAAATTTATTCATATGACATGTATACTTTTTTAATTTTTGTTTTGGGTTCAGGGGTACATGTGCAGGTTTGTTATATGGGTAAGCTGCGTGCCACAGAGGTTTGGTGTACAGATAATTTTGTCACCTGGGTAATAAGCATAGTACCTGATAGTTTTTTGATCCTCTCCCTCCTACCACCCTCCACCCTCAAGTAGGCCCCAGTGTCTGTTATTCCCCTCCTAGTGTCTGTGTGTTGTTGTTGTTTAGCTCCCACTCATAGGTGAGAACTTGCAGTATTTGGTTTTCTGTTCCTGTGTTGGTCTGCCTAGGATGGTGACCTCTACCTCTGTCAATGTTGCTGCAAAGGGTATGATCTCATTCTTTAGTGGCTGCATGGTGTTCCATGATGTATATGTACCATGTTTGCTTTGTCCAGTCTACCACTGATGGGCATTTGGGTGGATTCCATTTCTTTGCTATTGTAAATAGTACATGTATAATTAAAATTAAAAACAAGAGAGATGTTAGTGAATTTTGTAGTTTCATTCTGATGAGAACAGCGTGGTATATATGGGTTCCACTAGTTTCACCCTAATCCCCTGTATCAGAATTATCCAGGGGCAGAGAATGGAGGTGGGTGGCAGACCTTGCAGATTCTGGGTCTGTACCTGACCATGTGAATCTGTCTCTGGAGGAGAATGCTGCAAATGTGCAGGTCTGTCTATTGCATGTCTGGTATCATGGCCCTATCTGGTCCTTAGACCATGCTTTGAGAAACACTAAGAGAAGGAAAATCCAGACAGTCTGACCATTCTTACCTTCATCCCTATTTGTAACTGAGTCCAAGTTTAGGGCATGTTTGTGCATAGGAGATGGTGTTACCCAATTAGTAGATCCTTGAATAAAACAATGGCTTCATAAAGAGAAGCCATTATGAAGATTCACAGCTATTCAAAGTTGTCTTGCTTTGAAGGGAATGGGGTTCTGTCTGAGCTCCTTCCCCATTTATTAGGATCATTAATACTTTACTTAATATTAAATGTTTTAAGTAAAATATTAATATTTTGTTCTTGCATCAAATTATGTTTTAAGTAAAATATTAATATTTTAAGTAAATTAATGTTTTAAGTAAAAAATTAATATTTTAAAAGTAAAATAAAATTTTACTTAAAATATTAATATTTTACTTAAAATATTTTACTTAAAATATTAATATTTTACTTAAAACATAATTTGATGCAAGAACAAATGGACCCAACTTGAAATTTTTATGTCCCATATGGGCACCTGCATCATCACCTGCATGTATCTAATCCACTTACTGAGTTTGAGTCAGAGAAAAATGAAAACTGCAGTGGAACATCCTCTTAGGGATGTGGATCCTGTAACAATGATCCCATGGTTACTAGGTTATTCTGGTTCCCTGAGAGTCAGGTGAACCTTCTGCTTTGCCCTGAACAATCTCCTACATCAGTGTTTCTCAAAGAGTGTTCTGCAGACCACTCTCATTGGAGTCACTTGGGGAAACTTGTTAAAAATGAAGATCCCAGGGTCTCTTTGCTGACCTACTGAATCATAGCCTCTAAGAACGCGCCCCAGGAGCTTGCATTTAAGTAAGATTTCCCATTTATTCTAATGCGCACTAAACTCCATTCTATAGAACTGTCCCATATGGTTTCCAGTGTGGTAGCCACTGGCCACATGTGGCTTTTGAGGGCTTGCAGCGTGGTTGATGACACATATTGAAATGATATTTTGGACCTACCGGGTTAAATAAAACGTAATTTAAAATTAAAAAAAGAAGACAACAAATCCTAAGCAGGTTACGCAAAAAATAATTTCAACCTAAATGCACCTTAAACTGCAGAACACCAAAGACAAAAGAAAGACTTAAAAGCAGCCAGAAAAAGAACAAATTACATTAAAGGAAGCAACAATTAAATAACACCTTATATTTCAATAGTAACAGTGTAGAATCTTGAAGACACTAGAATGACATCTTCAATATTCAAAGTGAAACTTGTTAACTTAAAATATCATAGAGTAAAAAGTATCTTTCCATAGTAAAAATTCTCTAAAAAATATAATTTATCTAGAATAAAAGTGATCCAACATGAATGGTCTGAAAGCAATAAAAATGAAGAGTAGAACATGGGAAAATATGTGGTTAATTCTGAACAATATCATCTGCTGGGTGTATACAACAGAATTAAGGTAAATGATAACAAACTGATGGGAATTAAAGTGTTCAAAAGTCCCTGTATTCATCATTATCTTTCCTTTCCTCCTGAGTAACTTTAGACTTTGAAATGTTTTTATTAAATTTCTAGAGTAACAACCAAAAGAATGAAAATGGTTTACAGAATTTCTGAAATTGCAGAAGAAAAAAATGAAGTAAGAAGAAACAATTCAAAGAAAAGCAGGAAATCAGAAAAAAAATGTAGAAAGGGCAAAAATAGAATGCACAAAATAAATTCTAACTGATCTATAATTATAAATAGACAAAAAGCTCCATTTAACAGACAAATATTATCTGGTCAGAAGAGCTTTTTAAAACATCTTCATCCCTGTGAGGTCTGAGAAAAAAATTTTAAAAAAAATCAATCTATATAGTACCTATAAGAAACATACCTAAAACACAGAGACATGGCTGGGCACGGTGGCTCATGCCTGTAATCTCAGCACTTTGGGAGGTCGAGGCAGGCAGATCACTTGAGGTCAGGAGTTTGAGGCCAATCTGGCCAACATGGCAAAATGATGTTTTTTTACTGAACATCTTTACTAAAAATACAAAAATTAGCTGGGCGTGGTAGTGGGTGCCTGTAGTCCCAGCTACTAGGAAGGCTGAGGTGGGAGAATCTTGATACCAATCCTCAAAATGATGATTTGAGAAAAACACTACAAGACAACTGGACTCATGAACTTGGATGAAAAATCCTAAGTAAAATGTCAGCAAACTGAATCTAGCATTGTGTGAAAGGCATAATATGTCATAATCAATTTGTGTTTAACCCCCGAATTACAGATTGATTTAACATTGGAAAATCAATTACTGTAGTTTATCACACTAACAGATTAGAAGAAAATCACATCATCATTTCAATAAATCATCTGACAGTCATTCATGATAAAAATTAAATCTCAGCAAACTAGAAATGAAGGGAACTTCCTTAATCTGATAAAAGCTACCTAAAAACAAAACAAAACAAAATACCATATTTAATGGGAAACATTCTAAGCGCTTCTTTTAAGATCAAGGCAAGAAATCCTGCTATTATTATTCTATTTGACATTATTGAATGTCATAGGTAACTGGATAACCCAAGATAAATAAATAAAAGTATGAAGATTGGAAAAGATGAAACAAAATGCTCATTATGACATTACTGCATATACAGAAATCTAGACGAGCTGCAAAAAACTTACTATAACTGGTAAGTTTGGCAAGGTTGCTAGATTCAAAATCAATATACAAAAATCAAGTGTATTTCTATACACCAGCAGTAAATTTTAGAACACATAATTTTTATTGTGGTAAAATATACATTAAAATGAAATTTACCATTTTAACCATTAAGTGTGTAGCTTAATAGTATTAATTATATCATAATATTGTTCAATTATCACCACCATCCAGCTCCAGAAATTTTTTCATCTTCCCAAACTGAAACCTCATACCTGTTAAACAATAAGAGCCCATTCCCTCTTCCCACCAGCCTCTGACAATCACCATTCTACTTTCTGTCTCTATGACTTTGACAGTGGTAGGCACTGGATATAAGTGAAATTATACAGTATTCTTTTAGTGACTGACTTGTGTCACTTACCATAATGTCTTCAAAGTTCATCTATATTGTAGCATGGGTCAACATTTCCTTCCTTTCTAAGGCTGAATAATATTCCATTGTATAAATATACTACATTTTGTTTATCCTTTTATCAGTCAATGGATATGTGAGTTATTTCTACCTTTTGACTATTCTGAATAGTGCTGCTATGAACATTGGTGAACAAATATCTGTTTGAGTCCCTGCTATGAATGATTTTGGGTATATACGAAGAACGAGAACTGCTGCTAACATGGTTTTTCAAGACACCATTTATAATAGGACCAAAAAAAATCAAGTACCTGGGAACAAATCTAATAGAAATTTGCAAATAGGTAATAAAAAAAACATATAGAGAAAAACCATAAAATTTTCCGGAAGGAGAAAAAAGATTTAAATAAATAAAGATAAATATTATATTCAAGGACTAGAAGAATCAATATCATAAAGATGCCAATTCCTTCTAAATTATCCAATAAACAATGCAATTCCAATGAAAATTTCACTTTTTTGAGAATATGAAACTTGATGAGTTGATTCTAAAATTTACACGGAAGAGTAGTAAGACAAGAGTCACCAATGTGTACCTGAAAAATAATAAGAGGTGGGGGAGGGAGACTGAATTTTAAAATATCAAGCAATAATTAAAAGTTGTAATAATTTCAACAGTGTTGTGTTGTTATATAAATTAGCAAACAAATGAAAGAGAAAACTCAGAAATAAACCTAGGCAAATTTGGAGGCATAATTTATGACAGTTGGTCCATCAGATCACTGAGAGATGAAGAAACTTTTAAAATATATTATGGTAATGGTATTATAGTTGCTTGTCCATATGGAGAAAAATAAAGTTGAACCCTTACCTTACCTCACATCATACATGAAGATTAATTCCAGATAAAGCAATGAATTAAGTGTAAAAGATAAAACTAGAACACTTTTAGAAAACAACATGTAAGAATGCTTTTATGACCTCAGAGTAGGGATGAATTCTCAAAACAAGACTCAAACTATACAGGAAAAGTTTGATAAACTCAACTATTCTATCATTAAGAACTTTTTATCACAAGACACCATAAACAGAATGCGCTGATAAACCATAACTTAGGAAATGTTTTGGAACACACATTATTCACAAAGGAATAGTGATCAAAATATATAAAGCACTCTTATAACTGAATAAGAAAAAGTTCAACATTAAAATAAAGACATAGATTAAAAAACCCAAAAGAACATGCTCAGAAGAGGAAACCAGGGCAGAAAAATTCAAATTAAAACCACAATGAGGCTGTTGAACACACACACATACACATGTGCACAAGATTATTTCATATGAAGTATGATAAGAGTATTCATGAAAATGTGGAAACGATGGCAACAATTCTACACTGCTAGTTAGAGTGGAAATTGGTACAATTAATTTTGAAATCAACTTAGCGTTATCTAGTAATGTTCCTTATGTGCATACCCTAAACCCAAGCAATTCTAATGCTAAGTAAATTTCAAGGATATGTGCCAGGAGACACATAAAAGAACAGTCATACAGCACTATTTCTAACAAATCAAAAATGGAAACAACCTGTATGTCCACTGTCCATCAATACAAGGTATATGTAAACCATAGTATATTCATACAATGGAACACTACAGGGCAGTGAAAATGAATGCATTACAGCTATGTGCAACAACACAGTCAATTCTCAGCAACTAAGCAGCAGAAAAACCAAACTGCAGAATATATTCCATCTACAGAATGTACAAAACAAATATCACTGTTTAGGAAACAAAGATAAACTTTACAGAAATGTTTACTGTAAGTATTCGCAAGGCAAATAATTGTTCACTGTGAAACAATTAGACTGGTGGGTTATGAAATTGCTGCCAGTTTCCATCATGGGTCTTTAATTGTAAGTTAAAAACTATTAGGCCATTAGCAGTGACTTATTAACATATTGCTCAAAAGAGCTAGAATTTACCTGCATGAATAAAGTTACTCTGTCAAGAGCTTTAAAAAACTGCAATACTTCTAAGATGTCTTGCACTTACTTTTTAATTTTTGTTTATTTTTTATTTTTTATATATATATATATATATATATATACACACACACACTTTTTTTTTTTTTTGAGGCAGGATCTCACTCTGTCACCCAGGCTGGAGTGCAGTGGTGCAACCTTGGCTCACTGCAACCTTCATCTCCTGGGTTCAAGTGATTCTCCTGCCTCAGCCTCCCAAGTAGCTGGGATTACAGGCATGCGCCACCACACCCAGCTAATTTTTGTATTTTTAGTAGAGACGGGGTTTTACCATGTTGGCCAGACTGGTCACAAACTCCTCACCTTAAGTGATCCACCTGTCTCAGCCTCCCAAAGTGCTGGGATTATAGGTGTGAACCGCCGCACCCGGCCATCTTGCACTTACTTTTATCAGTTAAGTTTAGTGTTTCTAAACAGTTCAAAGACAAAGAAAAGGATCAAGCACCATTCCCTTTCACCGAAAATTTATCATTTTTCACATGATCCAAATGGTCATAATTACAGGTGCCATCTATGCAGAATCACATTGAAACAAAAAATCCATAAAGCATATCAATTGTATCCAGTAGTGCCAACATTCACCTGACATCCATTCCTGCTGATCCTTAGTCATTCACAGAACTGCTGTGTGTTCTTTAGAGGGATGAGAAACTCTAGAGCATGATTACTGAGCATCTTTACTATTGAATCCTTTAGGAATAGATTCCTGTGAGATGCAATAACACAGAAAAATATTTTGCTTATTACAAAGAAACATTAGATTGGCTGCTGGATTTCATTTAAGGGTTAGATTCATTTTTAAAGATAGTGTATATGTCCTGGCTGGCATTATCTAATGCTATAAATGCCTCTCTAACTTAAGTTTTAAAACAATTTGATCTTTAACAAAGAGTTCTTAATAATAGTAAAGTATATTCAAATTATTAGTTTAAGTGAACAAATGAATATAACATCTACAGTAATATCTACAGTATGATCTGTTGAAAGTATGATCACTAGTGTGTGAGGAAATAAACATAATGAAATAATATGTGAAAATATTAACTGTGGAAAATAAAAAAATAACTTTTTCTTCTTTCTATTCTATATTTTCCAACTTCTCTATAGTGGGCACATAGGGTTATTAAAAGATGACAATATATAAAAAATAACTCACACAGTACCCTCTCATTTTTACCTTGACAGTAACAGTAAGAATAGGAGTATCTCCCATACTCTTACTATTACTGTAATAGTATTACTATACTGTAATAGTATTACTATTATAGTTATAGTAATAATAAGAGTAAGAGTATCTCCCATACTCTTACTATTACTGTCAAGGTAAAAATGAGAGGGCAGGCCCAGTCTAATGATTCTATTTCAAGCAAAGCACATCAATAAGCTTCTTTACAAGCCATATCCCTGTTAAGAGTAGTCATGAATAGAGAAAAGATTTGTAGCATTACCCTTTTGGTGATGATGTGTGAATCAAAGGGAAGCAATGTGTCTAGAAGATTGTACAAATTGTCTGCCAGTTATCTTAAGAATGGAATATGCCATGTGTCACTACTTTGGGACACATTATCGCAGAGTTGGGAGAAACAGACTATTTCTCTTTGAGCTGACTCATCACTTTCTTTCAATTGAGCACAGTCAAGGTTAGCCTGAGTAAAACCCTGTTATAAGGTACATAGTAAAGAGTTCTAGGAGGGAGTCTCCGCACACTGAAATGTCTCAACAGTTGTTATCATGTACTAAACTAATGAAGAAACTCAGAAATCCTGGACCCCCAAAATAATATTTCCAAATCTATTTATTCAAACTGAATCATCCACCACTCATGCCTGATCAACCTTCAAAGGAACACAGAACATCATAAAAGCCATAATCCCATTGATTAGGACCATTTGTGTTTGGTATACATACATATATTATATATATACTCATACACACACACACACACACACACACACACACACACACACACACACACACAAGGATACATTCTTTCCTCTCTATTTTTTAAAGGAAAACTGATTATGGAAACCTGGCTTGAGGCTGTAATTTTGTAAAAGATGCCAGCATAGTTGTTTTCAAGTAAAAAACAAGTTGCACTTTTGTACTCAGAGACCTCGTTTTAATTTATGCAAAGCTTAAAACATTTTGTTAGGCCTGAGTGAGACCATCTGTGCAAGAAATAAAGGATGCCTAAGGGTAAAATAGGCAAGAATAGTAATGCTGAATGTGTGGAAGGCAGTAGGCGGCCTACGGGTTTTGCAACTACTGCTGTGACCTTTACTACTTTAGAGAAGAAACAAGGGTAATTTCCATATATTTGCTCCTCTAGAAAAGCACGGCATTTCTCCCCTCTTCCTCTCTTGCTCTCTTTCTTTTTGCTTATTCCTTCATAAAAAATTGGCAAATCAGACCCAACATAGGGAAGTGCAGCTAGTTTTGAAAACTGTACTTTAAGATACACTCACATGTGCGCACGTGCACACACAGTGGACTATTTGAGGGCAGGGAGACTAAGAAGATGAAGGGATGAGAAACCAGGTTGAATAAGATTAACTCAGAAGGGGCATGATAATATTTTCATGTAGTCTCATGATAACATAATCTCAATTACTAGAAGAGTTATCACACAGTAGGATGGAAGAGAGGAAGTAATTGAGTGCCTACTGCATGTCAGGCACTTCACAAAGAGTATTCATATTTAATTTGTTTTAACATAAAAATGTTTTCTGATTTGTATAACACCCAAAAGTAGAATACAGACCAATATAAAAGGCAGGAGGAAAGAGCAGGGGAAGTATGGATGGAAGAAGGAAGAAACAGAAATGGATGAGAGAGGAGAGCCAAAGATGAACTGAGAGGCCTCTGAAGATAATTAATGGCCAGTCTCTGGCAATGCTCTGGTGCAGGCTGGATGGTCACTTATCCGAATCCTGTTTTGGGGGTTTGGGATGAATCCATTCCTTCTAGCCACACAATCTCCTCTACACAGTATGGAGGTTTACAAGTTGATGAGAAGGCACGGGCAACCACCTGAGGTGGAAACCAGGCTATTCATGTCTAACCTCTATAACCAAGATACCTATACTAACTATGTTGCCACTGTGTCTGGTAAGACTTCCCTCCCTAAGGCCAATCTTGGAAAGGAGGCCATTGCGGAATTGTGCTGTCACTCTGCACATGTCTAAAGAATAGGGGCTGTACCATATCCAAACTGAACAGGTTGTTTTGACCACAGGAAAATAGGACCTCTGGCAAACTTCCTACCACTTCAGCCAAATGCCCTAAGCATCCTCAATGAAGCATTTCCTCTGCTCAAGCAACTCAGGCCTCTCAAAGTCGGCAGGCACTGGTTTAATGCAGGTGTGTTAGAACAGCATTTCTCTGTAAATCAAAGCTTTTTTCAGAGAGCAACATTGCCTGTAAAATGATGGCTTTCTTCCTAACACTCTCAAATTAACATTACAAAGGCCTGACCTTATGTGCATTAAGTATTCCCCAAAGAAGCACAAGAATATTTTGTGAGTTTGTTCATACTGCATTTCTTTCTTTTGATTACCTTTGGGACTTATTAAGGAATTCATGCTTCTCTCCCCTCCCATTTTTCTTACAGGGGTCCCACAGGGGCTAGGGATGAAGGAATGGAGAAAGAACCCAAACCAAGGGTGTAATAGTCACATCAAAGCTAAAAAGACTTTTATTTACCAAAAGAAAGGTTTTAAAAAAAACTTCAAAAAAGTAGTAAGTACTTTTATCTAGGGGATATATTTTACAGAACATTTATATATAGCTACAGCATATGGGGCTAAAATTAAAATCTTTTATATTGACTCCTCTTAGATAAGGCATAGAGTGAGTTTTAAAACAAAGGCAAGTATGTAATGTTAAGGCAATGAATTTCCTTAAAGAAAATCAAAACGATTTGTGTTATTTTTCCCATTATACACTCTTACCCTATTATTGTGGCCTGGAATCTTAGGTACAAATCATAATGAATATGACAAATGTGTACCACAGGGAACCAATGTTGATAATGATATCATTTGGGATAGAGGAGTCTATGTCTCAATCAGATTTCAGGCAGGACCATGAATCCGCTTTGTAATTAAGACCTAGAGGAGGCCAAAAAGCTGACTGGGAAGGCTTCCCAATTGCTCAAGCTTCATAAGACACCACTGACTTCATGGATTCTCCAGCACTTGGGGATGGAGTTCCTTGTTAGATATGTCCAAACAACAAGGACCTAATCTTGGAGTCAGACCACCTTACTGTTGTTATTCAAAACCCGAAGTGGATACAGTCCTGGAGTTGCTTTCTTCTAAGCATAAGATTTGATTTCTGACTTGTGGTGGTGAGTGAAAAGGAAATATAAATTGGAAATCATTTCATTGAAACTTTTTTACTATAAACACTTTGTAGGCTTAAACTAAAAGAAAACTGTAATCTCCCATAAACCCATGAATTAAAGGAGGATGCTGTGTTTTCTATGCATACAGACATTTATTTTCTTAAATTACCATATTGCACATGCTATATTAAACTAGAGGATCACATGTTCAATGCCAAAAATGGCATGCAAGCCTTGAGCAGACCAACTGAATAAAGGGCTAGAGATGGGGACACAAAGGGCCAAAACCAACATAAAGAAGAATGGTTTCTGGAAAGATGTTAGTAATACTAGACCGGAGTCAGGAGGGAGCATAGCAAGAGTCCCTAGGCCTCACTCTGTATTTAATTCATTCCTTCTGCCCTTAAGATTATAAGTGTACTACCATCATTTACCCAGCTCCTTCCATATGCCAGGCACTTTACAAAATCCCCATGAAAACCACATATGTATTATCAAACACCATTTTACAATCAAGAAAACTCAGACTCAAAGAGTTGAGAAACTCTTAAGAGTGGTTCAGGGAATATTCACAACCAGATGTGTCTGACATCAAAGTCAAAGCTACTAGTTACCAGGTTACATCAATTGTAGCCAGGGCTCTGAAAGAGGCACCATATTGAACCCAGCTGTGTTGCATTAAATCTCCTTCTATAGCCTACCACCTGTGCTCCTTGGCTACCGGGGCTGGGAGATTCTGGTTGCTAGGCTCATTGCTTAGTAGGAATGTCACGCTAGCCAGCTCAGGCAACCTCTAAGAACTACACCAGTCCCCAGTCATATCTCCTCCTTATTCTGCACTCACATCTCTGATTATAATATTCAGTGAGTCACTGATCCCATCTGGCCCAATGATTCCTTACCTACCGTTACTTAAACCACAGGACCTCTAAATATTCATGTGCTTATGCCGTACTTTCCCGATCGGCAATAGGAGTGGGACTCAATTTTCTTAGTATCTCCTCCATTCTTATGTACATTGCCTTACAGAGAGTAGGTGTGCAATAAATGCAATTAATTTTTCAAGAATTCCAAGTGGTATGATTCATGGAATGAACCTTACCACCTCTCCTTAAAAATTAGGTTGCAGGGGCCGGGTATGGTGGCTCACGCCTGTAATCCCAACACTTTGGGAGTCCCAGGTGGGCAGATCACCTGAGGTCAGGAGTTCAAGACCAGCCTGGCCAACATGGGGAAACCCTGTCTCTACTAAAAATACAAAATTAGCCAGGCATGGTGGTGGGTGCCTGTAATTTCAGCTACTCAGGAGGCTTAGGCAGGAGAATCCCTTGAACTCCGGAGGTAGAGGTTGCAGTGAGCCAAGATCGCACCATTGCACTCCAGCCTGGGCAAAAAGAGGGAAACTCTGTCTCAAAAACAAAACAAAAAAAATTAGGTTGCAGGGCTGGCTCTGCATGAATTCATATGGTAGGGGAGGAGAAAGGTAGAAGGGGTTAAAAATTAATCAATTAATTCTGATTTTCTAAACTAAAGAAAAGAACTGAAAAATCATCTTCTCAAAAGACATATGATGGGCCAGAGTAGGTAGTAGGGCCTGGGAAAGGAAGCAGCCAGAGAGACCTGATGTGGCCTGCCCCAAGACATGGGGGCTGGAGAAGATACTGGGGAGGCAGAGGGTTTGTAAAACATTTTTGTAAATTTTGTAGTTCATAAAATTATGGAGGAGAGGCTCTGATTGTTTAGGGATAAATCAGGAGCCCAGAAGAAGGAAAAGTGGAGGAGTCTGATGATTAAAGGACATCAAATAGTATCTGCTCAACGAAACTATCTGCTCAGGCATCTCTATTACATCGGTAACTGCCTCCCTCCTGCCAAGTTACCTCACAACCAATAAGAGCTCTATTGCTCAAAGCAAATACTTAATTAGGGAGTTCTACTAATTGATAAACTGACATCTGTCTGATCAGGCCTATAACCACACACAAACAAGTGCATGTACACACACACACACAAACACACATACACAGAAACACATCTCTCTGATGATGAGTGCACGCATATCTTGTTTCTCTGGAGCTCAGAAGTAATATAAATAAGGTGGGGGATTGTAAGAGAAAAGCTAAGAAGAGGAGGAAAATGACAATTTGTATTTACTAATAACATGCAATAAATCTTAGTCCTCCTACAGTTAAAAAAAAAACACTAATAATAAACTCAGAGGGGGTACTGTCTATAGGCAAGGAGGAGACATAAAATGTAAAGCATGATACAGTGGTGCTCAAAGTAGCCTGCTGAAAGCATCTGACTCCTTGGACAGGAAAGGGAGACTGGTGAGATCTAGAGAACTCTTAAAGTTAGAGAGAGGACTTGCTAAGCTAAAAGAGGAAAGTAAATAAGAAGGGAGGGAGCAGGCAGTCCACGATCTAAGAGGGGCAGCCACATGACAGATGCACAGGGCAGTAGAGGAAATGACAGCATTAGTGTTGGTCCTGTCAAAAGGCCTTGCCGGCAAAGCTAAAGCGGACAGCACTAAAATCCCCTCTGCTCACTAGGCCTGCTGGAGACATAATGAAACACAATACTGTTGGGGGTGGCCCCTGGGTAACATTTTCACTTCTACATTCCATTTTCAGTTTAGGTCGAGATTTTTAAGAAGACAGCAAGCAGCACTCGAGTCCCAGGTGACAAGATCTGCTCAGATTTAGTCTTTGAATGTTGCAAATTAAATTCCCTCATCAGGCCTCTAATCACTCTTACCAGATGGGGCTTGTGCTCAATTTTGGATCCACAGGAAATTTAATGGTTATTGTTTCTGTTTAAATAGGAGATTATTGCATTTTAATAAGTTCTCTTTGGGACTTGCAGCAACAATAGAGCACTATGAATTACTGTAGATAGCTGTTACTGCATGCTGGGGAAAAATCAAGTTACTAAGTGTGACAAGTTGCTTTTTCTTCCCTTCCAGCAATCGCTCCGAGTGTATTTACCACCAAATTAAGTATGTGCCGAGGGGATAATATTTTTATCCTGCCGAGGGGGAGAAGGAGCTTGTCTGTGGATTTTCATTAAAATGACACATCTGTTCAGCAATTTCACAAAGTAATTCTGCTGAAAGTTTTATCAGCTAATTTTAATTATTCACTCCAGTGGGTTGAATACAGGATTCATCATGTTGAATTAATACATTTGACGGGAATTTCACAAAGAGGGGGAGAAAAAGCAATCAACAAATTGAATTGTCATGCATTATGGATTAAATTGAGATTCTTTAATTAGGATAAGCCTGAGATTTGGTATTTTGAAGGTATTAGAAAGCTTAGCAATACAGTGGTAAAGATTAAGAAAATGCAATTAAATATTACACTTTGGACACAGCCAGGATATCATATGAGTAGAAGAGTCCTTTTTAGCAGAATGGTTAATAGTGTCAGTTTCTAGAATTGCTCAGTGGTGGAACTGCGGCCATGCCAATGAGAGACAGCTGCTGTTTGTTTACCACAGATGAATTAAAGGTAATTGTATTTTAAAAGACTGGAAGCTGACTCTCTTTAAACTACAATGAGATAATTGTGGCAGTGACAATGAACAAATAACTAGGAGATGCAAGGTTCAAGTTCTGGCCCTGCCATCACTACTTACATATGAGACTTTGAAAAATGCAATATTTTTTATTGAGCACCTATTACATGGAGACACTGTATTAGACAAGCAGGAATCAACAGTGAACAAGAAAGTCCCCTGCCCAAGGGAGGTCTAGAGTCTAGTGCAAGACTCCTCTCTGAGGGCTCAGTCTTTGTATCTAAATAACAAAGGGGCTGGATCTGATGAGTGTGCAAAGTCTGTTCCACATCTGACATTCTACACAAATTGCAATAAATAATTGTATTGAGCTTACTTTACGAAGGCAGTAAGTGGTAAGCAGGGAGATTAAACAGAGTAGTACAGAGAACACCAAGTAACAATTATTATTCTAGAGGCCCCCTCTCCCATGCATGCTGGCTTGGGTGATGAGTCTACATACACAGCATCCATAATGCTTTCTGCCAAAGTGGGATGGCAATGAGGGGGAAGGAGCACCATGTGTACTGGACAGAGAAAATAACAACGAGGAGTGGAATGCATTAAAAAGTGCATCAGGTGAGCCCCTAGCACTTGCCAAAAATTGTTTAGACTTGTAAAACTAAACAGAAGCTAAAAGTGGAAAAAGAAACAATTTTCACTGAAGATATCAAATACTTGCTGACAGAGGGGATACAGCTACCAGTCTGTGGGAAATAGTCTGAGATCCATTTCGGCTTTAGTTCCTAAATCGGCAATATACACATACAGATGAAGACCATGAACATTATAAGAGGAAGAAAAAGTACTTTTTATTGAGAAGACAGTATTAACCTAGCTTATCAAAAAGGTTGAAAATTGCTTTTTAGTTCCCCCCAAAATGTTCATTCACTCCATTTCCACCTGGCACAGTAGGTCACATATACTCACCAATGAAACTGTACATGCCATCACACTAGAAGAATCACAAATACTGTACTATCTCATTAGAGATATAAACAAATGAAATTATATTTTTGAATACCCAAAAGAAAACAACAAAACTATAAATTAAATTCATGGCTAATATGCCCATGTTTTAAAATTTTCTAGAAATTTTTCTAGTCATCTGTGTTCATTCATTCATTCAATAATACTTACTGAGTTTCGCTATGTACCACACACCACTCTGGATACTGGGGAGAAAGTGGTGAGTATGGCACATACCTCACTTTCAGGGACCTGACATTCTAGTCTGGGTTGGTGGTGAAGAATATAAAATGTTATATCGAATAGTGATAAGTGCTAAGAAAATACAGGGTCAAGGTAAAGAATAGTGAATAATATGAGTACAGTTTTACAGAGGGTGGTCAAAGAGGGCCCCTGTGAAGACAGGACATCTGAGTAGATGGGAGCCCAAGGTGGGCGGACCACGAGGTCAGGAGTTCGAGACAAGCCTGGCCAACACAGTGAAATCACGTCCCCCGTCTCTACTAAAAACACAAAAAATTAGCCCGGCATGGTGGTGGGTGCCCGTACTCCCAGCTACATGGTGGGCTGAGGCAGGAGAATCACTTGAACCTGGGAGGCAGAGGTTGGAGTGAGCCGAAATCATACCATTGCACTCCAGCCCAGGCAACAGTGTGAGACTCTGTCTCAAAAAAAAAAAGAAAAGAAAAGAAAAAAGAAAAACACAGGGGTGGAAGATAGGTATCCTGCTTTCATATCTATCAAGAGAAGCAGAGCATCCACCTAAAAACAGATAGTACGTATTTTAGTTATTACGTGATAATAAAGGTAGTATAGGAAAGAAAACAGTGTTGCAGCCTATAAGCCCCTCCCGGCTGGTGACACAACCAACATGCACACAATAAGCTTAAAACAACTTTAGGTTGGGTGGGGTGGCTCACACTTGTAATCTCAGCACTTTGGAAGGACAAGGCTGGAGGATCACTTGAGGCCCGGAGTTCAAGACCAGCCTGGGCAATATAGTCAGATCCTGTCTCCACACATTTTTTTTTTTTTAATTAGCCATGGGTGGTAGCATGTGACTACAGTCCCAGCTAATCAGGAGGCTGAAGCAGAAGGACCACTTGAGCCCAGGAGTTCCAGGTTACAGTGAGCTATGATCTTGCCAACACACTCTAGGCTGGGTGAGACAGTGAGACTCCATCTCTAAAATAAGAATTATAAAAATAATAGCTTCATATGTCAACACATTCACCAATGCTGAGGCCGATTTCCTCCAAATCATTTTAGTATATTAAACCGTTATAATACATGGATTTTGAGGAAAGTCCTTCAATTATTAACAGTAGCTAGTGAATCTTTTATGTGAATATTTTCGCAACCATGAGGAGAGAACACCAAGCTTTTGCTTCCCCACCACTGCTCCACTGGAATAAGCCCATCTCATTAAGGACATTACCTGCCCTGCCATAGGACGGTGAGCAGCTTCCAGCCTCTGCCTCTGTTTTTCCCAAATTACTCGGTGAAGATCAATATTCCAGGTGTGAAGATCCCAGGACAAGCAGTAAAGATGTGAAGAGGTTTCCATTCACGGGATTCAACGTTTAGGCCTCCATTAGCACAACAACATTCAAAGGACCACCACCCAAATAGCCCAATACAAATAGCCAAATACAAATTGGGGTGTGGGCTGTTGAATCAGAGGTCCAGGTTACAAGCTCAGTTTAAGGAGATAGGAGGAGTTTATCTTTAAAGGGGGAAAGAGACCAAAAGAGGCTCAGTCTCCTCATCTGTAAACCAAGGATAAAAATACCACAGAGCCGTTAAGACAGCAACTGAGAAAATACACATAAAAACAACTGGCATAGCACCTGGTACACACATAAACATGCAATAAATGTTTGCAATTATTACTATTTGGTAGAGGAATGAAAAAGTGTAAAAGGAAACATATCTCACAGGGGAAAAGAAAATACTGAGAGAAGAGTTGAGAAACTTTTCATAAGGAAGTGAAGAGAAACGTGAATGACAATCAATGAACGCCAGTTCTAAAAAAATTAAATAATCCCAAGACCTAAAAAATCTTGGCATATGCTTTATCCCATTTAGTATCCATACTGGGGTCTAAATAAATATGATATAATACATTAATATATTAATATATGTTAGTTACCATATAATAATGATCAAAGTATCAGAAAAGCACAGCCTATGAGAAGCGCAAATATCTATGGCTTCTGATCCACAAATATGACTTAAATGCCCACAGCTTGGTTAGAATTCATACCAATAAAACCATGACATCACAAGATGGTATTCAGGTGTGATGACTTCAGCCATGAGCTTTGTTTTCTCTTTTAGTTTGATCACTTCAAAAGCACATACATCCTCCACATGATCAACCTTTGGACAATGATCTCACTCTGTATGACAATCAGGAAAGGTGAAATTGCAGACACTGAGCAAATTTAACCCTTGCGGTAAAGCCAGTATAGGGCTGTAACGCCACTTATTTCATGCCCGATTTATTTCAAGCCTTCTGCATCTTGGGCATCTCTTTACCAGCAATGGGAAATTCCGCTTTGGTGATTCTTATGGTCTTCTCTCCATAGTCTAAAACCTGATTAGGACCCTACGGGGATAATGTTAGCATCAAAAAAGAAGAAAAGAAAGTCCACCAAAAATTAGACGCTGTTTGACTGTGTGAAAGTAGAGATGAAAGGTATACTGTGTTAATGGAAAAATATACATCAGATAAAAGCCAAGGGATTAAGTTAAATTTGACAAATGTATCTGCCCGCAATTCCATTTCTAAACGCAGCAGACCTGGAGTCATAGTCACAATTATGTGAGGTCCATTAAGCAATTCCTTTCCCTCCCATTCTCCTTGTGTCTTTCACAACTACTGTTATCCATCAGAAATCTCGACAATGTTTGAAAAGAAAAACCACAGTATAGATAGGAAAAACGTATACAGTTCCTATACCATTGCAACTCTAATATCCATTTCCTCAAGAGAAAATATTTCCAAGTACTATGTGAAGTGTAGGTCCCAGGACACAGAGAGCCTGCGAGGTGTATGTGAATGAGCATAAGTGCACATGTGTTGGATGACGTGGTAGGGAGGGTAGGAAAGTGGGCAAAGCAACATCACAAGTTTCTACAAGAGGGATTCAGCTCCTAAATATGAAAGGTCATATGGCTTTATTTATATCCAAAACCAAATGCTGAGTTTTCCATAACCCAGTATGAAATATGTTTTTAAAGAAAGGCAATCAAATGAATGTTTTGAGGCCAAGGCTCTCAGTAATGTCTGCTTTTGTACATTTAAAAAGTGATACTACTAATATGTGAATTGCATAGAGTTATGGAACATTTCAAGGGGCAGAAAAAGCAGTAAGTTTTGTTTAATCTTCAATCAAATACTATTTTTAAAAAGCATACGATTCTGGAGTTTTTCTTTAAAAGTTGAAAACAAATATTTATTGAATTGAGCATCAACTGCTACCTGTGTTGTCAAGAGTAATTATTAAATACAGGCCTTTGACTTTTTCTAAAAATAGAAATGGAAATAGCTTTCGGTATACCTACCTGAAAAAATAATGACTCTTGTCATGACAATGACAGAGATAAGGAAAAACACTTGATATAATGCTAAGTTTAAAAAAGCAAGACCCCAGGCTGGGCGCAGTGGCTCACACCTGTAATCCTCAACACTTTGAGAGGCCGAGGCAAGCGGATCACCTGAGGTCAGGAGTTCAAGACCACCTCTACTAAGGATACAAAAATTAGCTGGGCATGGTGGTATGCGCCTGTAGTCCCAGCTACTGGGGAGTCTGAGGTTCGAGAATCATTTGAACCTGGAAGGGGGAAGTTGCAGTGCACCAAGATCGTGCCACTGCACTCCAGCCTGCGTGACAGAGTGGGACTCTGTCTCTCAAAAAAAAAAAAGAGCAAGAGCCTAAATTACACATGCATTATGTTGCTGACCACGTTAAAACTGTACGTATGTATGCTCATAGAAAGACAAAGAGGAGGATGTTCATAGCAGCTTCATTAATAATAGCCACAAACTGGAAATAACCCAAATGTCCCACAATAAGGAAACTGTGGCATATCTATTAATAAAGTATTATACAACAATTAAAAAATTAAAAATCCCTGCTACACCTAAAACATGGATAAATTTCAAAAGTTACTATGTTGAGTAAAAGAAGCTAGAGGAAAAAGAGGACATATTTTAAATATTCATTCAAATGAAGTTTAAAAACCACACACAGATTATAGGCTGGATGCAGTGGCTCATGCCTGTAATCTCAGCACTTAGGGAGGCTGAGGTGGGCGGATCATGAGGTCAGGAGATTGAGACCATCCTGGCTACCATGGTGAAACCCTGTCTCTACTAAAATACAAAAAAATTAGCCAGGCATGGTGGCACATGCTTGTACTCCCAGCTACTCGGGAAGCTGAGGCAGGAGAATCGCTTGAACTTGGGAGGTGGAGGTTGCAGTGAGCCAAGATCGCGCCACTGCACTCCAGCCTGGCTACAGAGCAATGCTCTGTCTCAAGAAAAAAAACAAAACAAACAAACAAACAAACAAAAAAACCTCATATCTAGGCCAGGTGTGGTGGCTCACACCTGTAATCCTAGCACTTTGGACGCTGAGGCGGGCAGATCACGAGGTCAGGAGATTGAGATCATCCTGGCTAACATGGCGAAACGCTGTGTCTACTAAAAATACAAAAAAATTAGTTGGACATGGTGGTGGGCGCCTGTAGTCCCAGCTACTCGGGAGGCTGAGGCAGGAGAATGGTGTGAACCTGTGAGGTGGAGCTTGCAGTGAGCCAAGATCGTGCCACTGCACTCCAGCCTGGGCGACAGAGTGAGACTCTGTCTCAAAAACAAAAAACAAAAAACAAAAAAACCACACAGATTACAAAAAGTAATCTGTAATGACAGAGGTCAGGACAGTGGTTAACTCTGGGATGAAACTAGAAGGCTAGGAAGGAAAGATTAACGGGTGCTGGACATGTCCTGTATCTTAATCTGGGTGGTGATTACGAGTGTGTTTTCACATGTAAGAAATCTTTAGCTGTATACTCAAGAGTGTACTTTGTAGCATGTATGTTTCTAAACAACAACAACATACCCAAGACAGCAGACCTTCCAAAATGGCTGAGTGAGGAGGTTGGCAAATCCTTGCCACAAAAATAAACAATGAAACAGAACAAAATTGTCAAAAACAATCTCTAAAGGACACTGGAAATTGACCAAAGGCATGCAATAAACTGAGAAGTGTTTCTTCAAGAAAACTCACCGAACCTCATTGACAACAGTGAGAGTCTATAGCACTTTAGTGCGGTGCTACTCCCACTCCCTAGTTCCACCCCTGCTTCCTGATGCAGAAGTGCTGTCGGGGTGGGTGTGCTGTGAAGATGAAGGCTCTGATCCTAGAAATGACTGATTTTATGTGGAAAATTCTATGACAAAGGGTATTGTCAAAAACAATAGTGATCTTAATGCAAACAATCAGGAAAGGACAACACTGCAGCTACCCTGAAATCTCATAACTGACTGAAGCAAGCAACAAACCAGTAGGCCAGTCAGAAAATTAATAGGCAGATCCAGGAACTGAAAGAGGGCATTGATGCGATCCTACTTATCTCTGATGGCCTGGAAAGCTGTGCATATGCACAAAGCTGCACACTTGCTCAGAGAGCCTGCAGAAAGCCTTAGTAAGCTACTTATTTCTGCTGAGCATGAGGCCTTACAACACAAAAATTAAGATTTGGGCCAGACTGGTAAATAGGCTGACTGCTGATTCATTCCCCAAATCATTTATGGATCCATCATAAAAGCAGAAGGCAGTGATTTAGGGGTTCTAAGTGTTTAGATACAATCTCTAGCCAATCTTTAACTGAGCACTCAACTATTTTGATTTCAGGGGTGGTCCCTAGAAAGCTAGGCTTATATAAGTGGTAAGGGTGGTGGCAAACTCAATGGAGTAGAGACAACAGCAGCCACACATTATGAGGGAAACATGCTGCACAGAACCATTCCAGTAAGAAACTAAAGTAATAAACCCAAAACAAGCAAAAACAAAAAACAAAAAAGAAACAACCATTAACTCTAGGTATGTGTGAGGGAAGAGATGGGGAAATCAGATTATACAGTTGCTACAATATATTATCTAAAATGTTCAGTTTTCAGCAAAAATATTAGGCATGCAAAAAATTAAAATTTTACCATTCCAAAAGGAAAAAAAAGTCAATAGATACTATCTCTGAGGGAGCCTACATGATGGACTCAACAGAAAAAGACTTCAAATCAGCTGTTATAAACACATTCAAAGATCCCCTTCCGAAAAAGTTTGGAGATTTAATGGGAAGCATGATGTCATAATTCATCAAATAGAGAATAGCAATAAAAGGGTAGAAATTCTTAAATAGAACCAATTGGACATTCTGAAATCTGAAAGTACAGTAACAAATAAAAAATTCACTAGAGAACCTCACCAGGAGATTTGAACGGCAGAAGAAAGAATCAGTGCATTTCAACACAGATTGATCCAGGTTGTAAATCTGAAGAACAGGGGGAAAAAATGAAGAAAATAAACAGAACATAACAGACCTGTAGCACACCTCAAATATAACAAACACACACATAATGGAGATTCCAAGAAGAGGAGAAAAAGGTTCTGAAAAAGTATTTGAAGAAATAATGGTAAAAACCTCCCCCAATTTAATGAAAAACATTAATCTAAACTTCCAAAATTATCAAATAATTCTAAGTAGGATAAACACAAAGAGATCCACATCTACACATTTCATATATAACTGTTGAAAGGCAAAGAAAAAGAGGAGATCTAGAAAGTATCAAGGGTAAAAATGACTCACTATGTACAAGGCACCCAAAATAAGATGAACAGCCAACTTCCAATCAGAAATAATGGAAGGCAGAAGACAGTGGGAGGATGTCTTCAAGTGCTCAAAGAAACAAATAGATGTCAACCAAAATTTCTGTATCTAGCAAAAATATTCCTCAAAATGAAGGCAAAATTAAGAAATCCCCTATTAAAGACTGAAAGAATTCACTGTTAGCACACCTGCTTTACAAAACATAAAGTTCATTAGGATTAAACAAAATGACAACAGACCTTAATTCAAATCCACATGAAGAAAAATAAACATTGTTAAAGGTAACTATGTAGGTAACTATAGGAGGCTATATAATTTTTGTCTTTTCTTGTCTCTAACGATTTAAAAAAGAGCTACATAAATCAGTACTTGTAAAATTGTGTTGTAGGACATATAATATAGAAAGATTAATATATATAATAATAGTAGCACAAAGAAAGAGAGAAAGAATATAGTTATGTGTGCCAAAGAAATGCTACCAAGCCATAAATCAATTCCACATTTAAAAAATGAAGAGTAATGGAAACAGTAAGCATATAGGTTTTTATATGTTGAAAGAAATCATACATACATTTTTCTATTTTCTTGTCTTTGTCTTAACTTCTTTAAGCATAGGTTATACAAAGCAATAATTACAATACTGCATTGTTGGGTATATAAGATATATAGATGTATGTGATAATAATAGCTATAAAAGATGGTGACATGGATCTATAGTGAAGCAAAGTTTGTGCATACTACTGCACAGACTTTAATACAAAGTCATTATTAAACTGACAAAGTTTAATACAAAGTCAGTATTAAACTAAAATAGACTGTGTTAAGGTAGAATGCATGTATAAACCCTAACCCATTCAGAAAAAAATATTTTCATAGAGCAAAAATGAACTAAGTAATAAAAATGATACACTAAAACACACCTATTTAGTTACAAAAGAAGCAGTAAAGGAAAATCAACTGAACAAAAAAAGATGAAAATCAAAATGGAGACATAAATCCAATCAAATCAATAATAATATTAACTATAAATAAATTTAAAATTCAAAAAAAAGAGATTGTTAGACTGGATTTTTTTCAAAAGAGACCCAATGATATGCTTTCTAAAAGCGATACATTTTACATACAAATGCAAAAATAAGTTTAAAAAAGATTGAAAAACAGTATGTGAACAATAAATGTAGTTTAATACAAATTAAATGTAGTTTAATAATAAAGGGGAGAGAGAATACTGTCCGACAAAACAGACTTTAAAGCAAAACTGTTACTAGAGACAAAGAGATTTTATAATGATAAAAGGGTCTACCCACCAAGAAGATACAATGATATACATGGATATACCTAACTACAAACCCCGAAACAGATGGAGCAAAATCTAACGGAACTAAAGGGAGACACAAACAATGCAAAAATAACTGGAGACTGTGATATACCACTCTAAATAATAAACAGGACACCTAGATAGAAAACCAACAAGAATATAGTAGACTTGACCAACACTATCAAACAAACTGACCTAAGAACACTCCACCCCAAATGAGTATAGTACATACTCCTTTTAAGCACACATGGTACATCATCAAAATAGATCATATGCTAGGCCATAACTATCTATAAATTTAAAATGACTAATATCACATAAAGTATATTTTCTGTATTGCTAATTAAATTAGAAACAAACAACAAGAAAATCTGGGAAATTCACAAATATTTTGAAATATGTCAATAGACTTCTAAATAGCCAATGAGTTAAGAGAATGAATCACATGAGCGATCAGAAGATATTTTGAACGGAATAGAAATAAAAATAGAATATACAAATTTTCATGACTTCAGCTAAAGAAGTTCCATAAACACCTATGTTGGAAAGGAAGAAACAGTAAACCAGTAACAGACACTTCCACCTTAAGAAATCAAAGAATGGAGAAGAAGAGAGACTGCTCATGAACCTTTCTGGAATGATGCAAATGTTCTGTATCATATTGTGGTGATGGTTACAAATCTCTGCAAATTTACTAAAACTCATTGAATTATATGCTTAACATGGATAGATTTTTGGGCATAAATATAATACACTACATTTTAAGAAACGTTTTTAAAACCTTTAAAAAGGTTGTTTTTTTTTTTTTAAATGCATGAGAAAAGTGACCAGAAAAAAGTAGGCCCAAAACTAAGTGTTACATTAGAATGGCAGGGGTGTAAGTATTATTTATATTTTCTAATTGTTGTTGCAATAAAAATTCATATTTAAAAGTTAAAAGAATCATTGTTTCCACTTTTTATACACATATAAGACTGTATTAAATGTATTACCCGGGTCTTCAGACAGCCATCTAGTTTAACTTCCTGGCTCAAGGTAAGAATGTAACTAATTCATGAAAAATGGGATTTTATACAAACTGTTTTTACGTGTCTTAATGGTAATAAAAAATCCCAGGAAACTACCTTCACCCCAACCCCTTTTAGCTGTACTCACTTAAAAGGCTCCTTAGAGCATCCACTCATTTCAAAAATTTCTTCCTGGTGTCTAATGTCAATCACCTTTGGTACAACTCAAATTCATTTCAACACAATGGATCTTCTGAGATTTGTGTTCATATCCTATTTCTACCACTTACAGCACTATGCAACACTCTTCCTCCATGTCTTCATCATACAATGGAAAAAATAACAATATAGTTGCAAAAATTAAATGATATACTGCATATAACATGCTTAGAATACATGTACCCAGCATGTAGTAGATATTTACTAAGAATTATTATGAAGAAATGAAGAAGAGAAAACCCTTTGAAGGAAAGAGGTGATGGCAGGGTAGCTGAACCAAGTTACCCAAGTCTGTATTCTTTCATGCAAGAAGCTGGGTTATCTGAAGTGGCCTGAATACAGCAAAAAGCATGTTAAAAAATAATCTGTAATATGTAATTATTAAAAGGGGGGGCCAGGTATGGTGGCTCACGACTCTAATCCCAGCACTTCAGCAGGCCAAGGAGGGCGGATCACAAGGTCAGGAGATTGAGACCATCCTGAGTAACACAGTGAAACCCCATCTCTACTGAAAATACAAAAAAAAAAAAAAAAAATTAGCCGGGCATGGTGGTGGGCGCCTGTAGTCCCAGCTACTTGGGAGGCTGAGGCTGAGGCAAGAGAATGGCATGAACCTGGGAGGTGGAGCTTGCAGTGAGCCAAGATTGCTCTACTGTACTCCAGACTGGGTGACAGAGTGAGACTCCCTCTCAAAAAAACAAAAAGTGGGGTGGGGAAGCCTTTACAAGATTCAGTTCCCCGTTGAACAATAGCTTATAATCATACAAGCAACAGAATAGCTTTTAATAGATGACATAAATGTTCTGCCATGTCAAGAATGAATAGACATTTACATGTTCAATTGAATAAACTGGTTGCTCTGCTTTGATTAGTCCTACTTGGGTTAATTAAAATACTTCCATTTCTTCTAGTATTCATAGCTCTCTGTACAGTTTACAGAGGCTGGAGATGGATTTTTAATACTGTTTACCAACTGTAAGATTTTGATGGACACTTTAATCATGCAATACAACCGCAAAATCTACCACTGGGAGCTACACAAATCTTGAACCAAATTGAGAAAAGAAATTACATGAACACAGCCATGTTACATTGGTACTAACTTGAGAAAAAAGAGCAGAAAAAATTCCTAATACAATCTTTTTTTGTAAAATAATTTTTCAAGTACCATAATCTTCCTTAAGTTAATAATTTATATAAGTCATCAGTGTTTTTGATTTTTTTGCTTGTGTTTTGCTACATATAACATTTTTCATTAGTAAACTATCAACTACTTCTGAACCCCTGTACAGAGATTAAAGGACCAACATCTTCCTAACCACTTGCAAGGCCAAAGCTCAAGTGGCAGCCATCTTGTAGAATTTCACTGGGCCTTCAACATCTGAAGCACCAGAATGGATTACAACTTTTCATATGACAAAGCTCCTGGGACACAGGATGAGTTCAGTTCTCCTTTAGGCAGAATGACTACCCATCAAGATGCTATAAGAGAAATTAAAGCACTAAAAACAACATTTCTACATAAACTTTTCAGGAACCTTATAGCTCTGAAGTCATGCTAATCTAATATTTTGGAGATTTCCTAAATTAACTTTTAAAAACTGTTCTGCAGAAAATGAGGAAGGGAGACAAGATACAGAAAAATCTAAGGGATTTTATTTCTTTAATTTGCATCTGGACATATTAAACCCAAAAAGGGACAGTGATTTAACTTGTTTTGTCATGTAACCAAGTGATGTGGGAAACTTATTCTAAAAGGGGGAAAATTAGTCCTGAAATAAGCTTCTTAAACTGAGAAGAAACATAGAGTTTCAATTAACAAGGAAGACTAAGCCTGTGTAGAAGACTAAGCACAGTCATGTGTTGCTTAACGATGGGAATATGTTCTGAGAAATGTGTCATTAGATGATTCTGTCATTGTATGAACTCATAGAATACACTTCGACAAACCTAAATGGTATAGCCTACTATACACCTAGGCAACATAGCATAACCTATTGCTCCTAGGCTATAAACTTGCATGTGACTGTACTGAATACTGTAGGCAACTGTAACCTGATGGCAAGTATTTGTGTATCTAAACATATCTAAACTCAGAAAAGACGTAATAAAAATATAGTATAAAAGATTAAAAAATGGTACACCTGTATAGGGCACTTACCATGAATGGAGCTTACAGGACTGGAAGTAGCTCTAGGTGAGTGAGTGAGTGAGCAGTGCATGAATGTGAAGGCCTAGGACATTATTGTATACTACTGTAGATGTTATAAACATTGTACATGTTGGTTACACTAAAATTATTTAAAAATTTCTTTCTTCAATAACAAATTAACCTTAGCCTACTGTAATGTTTTTTACTTTATATATTGTTCAAATTTTGAATCCTTTTTAATAACATTTAGCTTAAAAATGTACAGCTGTATAAAAATACTTTCTTCCTTTATATCCATATTCTATAACCTTTCTTTTATTAAATTGTATTGTATGGTATTATATTGTATTGTATTGTATTGTATTGTATTGTATTGTATTGTATTGTATTGTATTGTATTGTATTGTATTGTACTGTACTGTATTGTATTGTATTATACTTTGAGACAGGGCTTCACTCTGGATAGCAGTGGCACTATCTCAGTTCACTGCAGCCTCTACTTCCTGAGCTCAAGTGATCCTCACACCTCAGCTTCCAGAGTAGCTGAGTCTACAGGCACACACCATCATGCCCACTTAATTTTTGTATTTTTTGTAGAGACAAGATTTCACCACATTGCACAGGCTGATCTTGAACTCCTGGGCTCAAGTGATCCACCTGCCTCAGCCTCTTAAAATGTTGGGATTACAGGCGTGAGCCACTGCACATGGCCTACTTTATAAATGTTTTTGTTAAAAACTATGACACAGACAGGTGCAGTGGTGCATGTGGGTAATCCCAGATACTTGGGAGGCTGAGGTAAGAGGACCACTGAGCCCAGGAGTTCAAGACTAGCCTGGGCAAAATAGCAAGACCCCTTCTAAGAAACAAACCAACCAAAAAAAAAAAAAAACAAAGATACAAACATGCACACTAGCCGAGGACTACACAGGAACAGGATCATCAATAACACTGTCTTCCAGCTGCACATCTTGTCACACTGCAAGGTCTTCAGGGGCAATAACATGCATGGAGCTACCATCCCCTATGATAACAATGCCTCTTCTGAAATACTTCCTGAAGAACCTGCCTGAGATGTTCTAAAGTTAACTTTTTTCTTTTTAACTAGTAGAAGGACTACACTAAAATAAGTGTAAAATTACAGTATAGTAAATACATAAACCAGTAACATAGTCTTTTACTATCAAGTATTATATACCGTATATAACTGTATATGCTGTACTTTTATACAACTGGCAGCGCAGTAGGTTTGTTTACACCAGCATCAGCACAGAAGTGAGAGTAATTTGTTGCACTATAACCTTACCAGGCTATGATGTCATGAGGCAATAGGAATTTTTCAGCTCCATTATAATCTCGTGGGACTCTGTTGCATATGCAGTCATTGATGGAAACATCACTATACGGCACATGGCTGTATGAGGAATGTAAACCGAACTACTATAAGCACTGCTTCCCAAATGACATTAAATGCTGCCTACTTATTTTCCATGTGTCACAAACACATAGGAAGTTCATTGTTAAATAAGGATGATCTATTAATGAAAATGCAAATTTCAGCCAGGCGCAGTGGCTCACACCTGTAATCACAGCACTTTGGGAGGCCAAGGCAGGAGGATCACAAGGTTAGGAATTCAAGACCAGCCTGGCCAACATGGTGAAACCCCGTCTCTACTAAAAATACAAAAAATTAGCCGGGTGTGGTGGCGGGCACCTGTAATCCCAGCTACTCAGGAGACTGAGGCAGGAGAACCGCCTGAACCCAAGAGGCAGAGGTTGCAGTGAGCTGAGATCACGCCATTGCACTCCAGCCTGGGTGACAGGGCGAGACTTTGTCTCAAAAAAAAAAAAAAAAAGCAAATTTCCAAGCCAAGAAATATTATCATAAAGCAGAGTGAAGAATATTCAAATATTTTATGAGTTGGTTTGCAAACAGATAGATGGGAACATTCCTATTGTGAGCAATAAAAGCCAGTTCTCCTCTTACTGTATACTGTACTAGATGTCTTCACACTTTGGGGGCTTCTAAAAGCAGTAGCAGAACCTTGAACTGTGATATTCATGAAGTCATTTCCTAACATTGCAGAGAACTTAAAGTCTTTTGAGGTTCATGAAGTATCTTGAGATCCTTAAAAAAAAAAAAACTCTACCAGTTGTAGGCTTTTACTAAAGAAGATAGGGTGATTCCTTAGTTTCTAACAACTTGTGTTATACTAGAGGAAAAATATCACTTTTTAAAAAGATATTGTTTCATAATATTTTAATCATAGATGTTAAAAAATAGTCCTTAAATTCTCCAGTTTTCTTCCTTCTTTTACAATAGACAAATTTTGCATGTTCCTATTGAACTTCTCTACTCCTATGTTCTATCCATTTCTTGATAAGAAAACTTGTAACAAAGCAGCTTCACCTTCACTCACCTTGCAAACACCCTTCCTACATTTGCTATCCCTCTTCCTCCCTGACACTGAAGTGGCAACAGTAAGAGGTAAGAAATAATATTGTTTATTATTTTATTCGCTGTCTTAGTTTCCTCTTCTTCAAAATGGGAAATATCTACTGCAAAGATTTTAATTAAATAACATAAATATGTAAAATGCTGGAGCATAATAGACTAAGTAATGTTAATGTGAAAAATTTAATCCATAGGTAATTTAATTTTACAATAATTTAAGAATATACATACAGATATTTAAACAAAGTTGTATTTTATGTTTTCCTTAATCAAACATATACTTTTCTCTGGCAAAATAATTGCATTTATATTCTTGCTAGATACTAAGCAAGTAAAGACAAAATATATGATGATAAAAAGCCAAACCCAAATGATAGATTCTTTATTTATTATTATTTTTTTGAGACACAGTTCTGCTCTTGTCACCTAGGCTGGAGTGCAATGGCATGATTTCGGCTCACTGCAATCCCTGCCTCCCAGGTTCAAGTAATTCTCCGGCCTCAGCCTCCCGAGTAGCTGGGATTACAGATGCCCACCACCACGCTCGGCTAATTTTTATATTTTTAGTAGAGGCGAGGTTTCGCCATGTTGGCCAAGCTGGCCTCAAACTCCTGACCTCAGGTGATCTGCCCACCTCAGCCTCCCAAAGTACTGGGAATACAGGCGTGAGTCACCGAATGATAGGTTCTGTATGATTCCATTTCTCTGAAATTCTAGAACAGGCAAACTAACCTAAAGCAGAGAAAATTAGAGTAGTGGTTCCTCCAGGGGTAGGCTGGGGGCAAGGACTGACAGAAGGAACTTCCTGAGGTGATGAAAACTTTATGTATCTTCCAATTTAGGCTACAAAAGGATCAGCCTTTCCAAATCTCAGAGAATGTACATTTAATGTTGGTACGATTAATTGTATATAAATTTTACACCAAAAGAAGAAAAACTATAAGCCAACATTAAATTTTAGTTAATGATATGCATGCTTAAATATTTATGAAAATGTATCTTGATGTCTGAAATTTAATTTAAAATAAACCAAAAATAAAATGGATTAATGAATAGACAGAAGGACAGATATATAATAAAGCAGCCAGGTGTGGTGGCTCATGCCTGTAATCCCAACAATGCAGGAGGCTGAGACAGGGGGACAGCTTGAGCCCAGGAGTTTGAGACCACTCTGGGCAACATAGTGAGACTTCATCTCTACAAAACATTATTTACAATTAGCCAAACATGGTGGTGAAACACACATAGGGTCCTGGCCACTCAGGAGGCAGAGCCCAGCAGTTGCAGGCTGTAGTGACCACTGCACTCCAGCCTGGGTGACAGAGCGAGACCAGAATTCTAAAACAAAAGAGGATAGGATAGATATACAATAAAACAGTATAGCAAAATAGTAATGGTAGAATCTATATGGTGAGTATTTGGGTATTAACTGTAACATTCTTTAAAACTGCTATATGTTTGAAATTTTCATGAGAAGACATGAAAGAAAGAATTGGGGGAAAAATGATAGGAATAAGTGACTCATGGTTGACATTTTCGCCATCCTCAGTTCCCCCTTCCTCTAAAAGGAGGCATTATGCCCTGTTACCTTTTCAAAGGTCCACAGCCTTTTTCTTCAGGATCCAGCTGATATCCCATCATTTCCATGCATCCGTAGCTAGCCAGGTCATGTCTTACTTAGCAGATCACCTAAATCAGCTGAAGTGACTTCCCTCTCTCTTAAACTTGTAAAGCAATGGTGGCTTTTGTCACAGAGGGACACCATTTAACATCTAATATTATGTGTCTCTGTCCCATCTATGGTTCCTTTCTAGCTTAACTGTAAGCTTCATCAGGGAAGGGACTTTGCTCTATCTCTGAATATCCCTCGATGCTTAGCACCCTGCCTAACACACGTCTGATACTAAAGAATGAGGAGTGACGCTGGCATGCAGCAGGTACAGAGGAAAGGTTGGCAACTACAGCCTGTAGGCCAAATCCACACCCCTGCCTTTTGTATAACCCATGAGCTAAGAATGGCTTTTATATTTTTAAATGATTGAAAAAAATCAAAGAATTATCTTTTGTGACAAATAAAAATTACATAAAATCAAATTTTTGTGTCCATAAATAAAGTTTTATTGGAACACTGCCACATTTATTTTTGCGTTATCTATGACTGCGGCTGCTCTACATCAGAGCTGAGTGGTTGTGGCAAAGACTGAACAGCCCACAAAGACAAAAATATGTATTATCTGTCCCTTTAAAGGAAAAGGTTGCCAAGCCTTGCACAAATAAGTAACTACTGAATGACTGTAAAGTCTTAGTCCTAGAATGTATGTCTTAGACTTAATGTGACTCAACTACATAAAACTTAATTACATGTAAGAAAGTGGTTGGCTATTTTGATGCATACTTTGATCTTAAAAAGGGAAAAAACAGGCTGGGTACAGTGGCTCACACCTGTAATCCCAGCACTTTGGGAGGCCGAGGCGGGTGGATCAAGAGGTCAGGAGTTCGAGATCAGCCTGACCAATGTGGTGAAACCCTGTCTCTACTAAAAATACAAAAATTAGCTGGGTATGGTGGTAAGCACCTGTAATCCCAGCTATTTGAGAGGCTGCGGTAGGAGAATCGCTTGAACCCGGGAGGCAGAGGCTGCAGTGAGCCAAGATCATGCCACTGCACTCCAGCCTAGGCAACAGAGCGAGACTCTCTCTCAAAAAAAAAAAAAAAAGGAAAAGAAAAAAATTTACTGTTTGTCCTTAATTTCTGTTCAGATCTCAAAACAAATGTTATATACAAATGTTCTTCCACTGGTGAGGAGACATCTTTTACTGTGATGTCTATACACTCAAAATTCTGAAATAATTTTTTTTTTGGCTAGCTCTTAGAGAACTTTTCCACATCATATATCTTGCTTTTATTGGAGAACGCATGAGCGACAGTTTTGTGGATTATACAACATGTTGTTCTGGCTAATTAGTTTACTAGCAATTAAAAATAAAATCATGGCAGAGGGCCACTTGTCAATTTCACCTTGTCATAAATGTGCTTGATGCTCATTGTGTCTTAAATAAAAATGTATCACTAGCAATGAGAGAGATGTTTTCCATTGGATTTTATTCCATCATTTGGTATAATTATTCCTGACAATTTGCCCATCATACGGTATGTCTCTCTCCAGAAGGAGAAAAATACTACTTTGTGTTCTCGTGATCACAAGTCTAATTGAGTGGAAAACAAATCTGTTTTAGAAATGAGAAAAAGAGACAAGCTACTGTTTACTCTGTTAAAAATAATACGCAGAACAAATGACAAAAAATGTAGCAAATAGTACTCTAAATCTTACTACTATTTTTTTTTCTTGAGTATCAAGATTTACTCCACAAACAAAACTGGGATGATGATTTCATATGATAGTGATGAATTACAGGTACATATCGCTAGGTCTACTGCACTGTTTTCCCAGTTCTGGAAGAAGGTAGGTTCTGGCTGATGGTCAGGTGGCTATCAGAGGGTAAGCAAAAGATGTTTGGTAAAAGAGCAACCCCCTGGCCCCATCTACCAAGAATGAAGAAAGTAGGTGCCATGTTGTAATTTCAGCTGACAAGAAGCATTAGCATTATCGCACACTTTGTGAATTAAGTAATGATTTAATTAGTACCAGTCTGAATGGTCATATAATGTTGTAATTAGAAGGCTGAGACAAAAATAATTGACAGAGGTGGGGCTGGGGCTTGTTGGAAAATTAGCATAATTAATGGAACACAGGAAGTGGAAATGTGTGCCTCAGTGGCCGATCACAGACCCTGAGGGCAAGGACCATGGCTTTCTCTACTGTGCATACCTTCAGAGCCATCTTACTGTGCCCCAGCATATTAGATACTCATATTATCCTTGTTACCGCATCAGAGGGAAGTCAGAAGCACTGGACTCTAAATCTTTCCTTTCTCCTTTAGCCAAAGGTTGGGCAAATCATTCTCCTTTTCCTCTGTTCACCTTATCTCTAAGATAAGAAAAAAAAGTAAGATGTCATCCACTTCAAAGCACTAAGTCAGAAACGATGTAGCATTCAAACAGAGAACTGCCTCACTGCCCCCTTGGTGGATGAATTAGAGGAATTAGAAGTTATATGACACAGGGCCTCAAGAGCTAAAGCATTAGCTGCCCTGTTACTTAATGAGCAGTTGCTTTGTTTTCTTGCAGACACCAGATCATGGAGTAGTGTATGCATGGGCAGGCCTGCAGACCATCTTGCTGCATCTTTCCTGTCTCTCGTTTTTATCTGGGTCTGGACCTTTACAGCATAAAGTTTGCTTCAACCATCTATATCAGTTAGGGTTCTGGTAAAAACAAACAAACAAACAAACAAAAACCAGAAAACACTTAAGAAATTTTCTGTAGGAAGTGATTTAATACAGAGAACCAACCTCTTACAAAAAATCACTAGACAAGGTTAAAGTATGGCCTTTCTTCTGCCATAAACAGAAGTCCATTGTTGCAGCAGCCCAGCTACAAATGCACTAGCGAAGCTGCAACCTGGGATCAGGAAATCGCATCATAACTGCCTTTCAACATCTAGGAAGCTGAGTTGAAAACTGAAACATCACCACAGAAAAATCATACTTCTCCTGCCCTGGCTAATCAGATAAAAAGAGCTAAAGCTGAAGATGAATAACCTTTACCTCATGTCGACCTTCCAAATCTTGAGCAAATATACCTGATTCACACCCAGAATCCTAGCTGCAAGACAGACTGGGAAATAAAGGCTTTCGTTTTTTAGTCTTTGCAGTTAAAAAAGCACAACTAGAATGAACTAGGAAATGAAAAGTGGGTGCCACTCAGCTTTATTCGCCATGCTCTAAGTGCCTATTAAACTTCTCAGTTAATTTTTTCTCTCCTCTCTTCAGCTGCTTCTAATTGGGCTCAACATGTAAACTTCAGTTTCCTTCTAAGTAGTCCATGTCACCCACATACTTTATCTTCCAGTTCCTACCTTGAGAGTGACTGCATACAACACAAGATCCCAGGTTATGTGAACACCAGTGGAAAGAAGGATAGGAACATCTGTGAATGCTCAGAAGACAGAAACACAGACAGAAGACTGCAAACCAATATCCTCATCCAACTTTTCTTCTCTGTGATTTTATTCTAAACTGTGGACATAACATTTTTTCTTGCTAATAAAAGCTGAAACTTGGCAAGTAAAATTTCAGAATAATTAGTCCAAATAGTGGTAGTAGCCGGAAAAAAAAAATACGCCTATGTAAGACGTCCCACAGAAACACGAAAATTGCTTGAACCTGGGAGGTGGAGGTCACAGTGAGCTGAGATCGTGCCACTGCACTCCAGCCTGGGTGACAGCGCAAGATTCTGTCTCAAAAAACAGTAATAATAAATAAAGATGAGGAAACCAATGTTCGCAGTGGTTGTCTTAGTCTGGGGTTCTCCCAGAAGCAGACAATGAGAAGTTTATTTAGGAGGTAAACAATAGCAGGAGACTGGGAAAGTAAGATCATGACAGCAGACAGGGAATAAAGGGTATGTAATTATTCAGCCAACTACCACTATGGGCAACTAGAAGCAAATGCCACTGGGAGGACTCCGGAAGCCAGTGTAGAATGTATACCTCAAAGTTATCCCACTTAAGAAGCAAGGAAGCTGGTGTATTTATACAACAACTCTCATTAGTCATTGACTGTGGGTTGCTCAGGTAGCAGTTCATTTCACCTACTTCCTGCCTACTCCTTAGGCAAAGCAGAATTCATTGACTAGACAAACCCTGAAGATGAATGAATATAAGGCCTAGCGGGAGGAAGGAGGGCCATTGTGAACTAAAGTGGAAGGGAAAGAGGGGTATGGGTGGGACACCAGGAGCATCTGCTAAGTTGAAAATGAATGCTAAATTAAAAATTATATGAAATGGAGTGAAATGATTTAATTAACAGATTATAATTGTTTGGATTAGCAAATCAAACATTAAGCAAGTAGTAGGGCTGAGACTTCAAGCCCGTCATACACCTTTCAGGGTCCATATTTCGTTCCAACACTCTGTCCAGATTAAACATAAGATGAAACATATGTACACTGGAAATTTGGGACTTGAAGGAGACTAACTATAATTTGAGGTATGGGGAGGACTGAACAGCTGTAATACCCCAAAATGGAACTATTAAAATGTTACAGAGTAGAAAAATCTACAAAGATCTTCACAGTATACAACACTGCCCTAGCATTCAAGGATAGAAGTGCTAAAGAAAGTTGGGCTACAATATAGGGATTCTGAATTTTTTTTATAATTTTTCATTTGTCAGATTCTCAATGGGCCAACCTGTGAGTTGCTGTCTTAAGCTCTCGGCAGATGACAATCAAAACAAAGATTAGAGAAAGTCTGTGATTTAAGCCAAATTGTATTACTAAACTAAAACAGAAGACATCCTTTATGTAAGAATTCTAATACCAAGCATTTTATGAGCTTATGACCTCTGACCTTGATGTACAGAAAGCAATCATGAGACAGGTACAAAAAGTATTTCATCATCTTCACCATGAAAAATTACTACCACCTACACAACTGCTCAAGCCAGAAACCTAAAAGTTACATCATCCTTGATGCTTCTCCTTTTCTCAAGTTCAACTGATATAAGTCCAGTCCATTTCACCCCCAAAGAGCTCTGAGTAATTCACTACTCACTTTTCCCACTGCCAACTAAGTTACCATCATTTCTTTCCTGTAGTATGTCTCTCCAACCACCCTGCCAAACATTCCAAAACATTCTCCGGAGAGTAATATTTTTCCAAATATAAATACAAACAAATCTGATTGAGTCAGCCCCTAACATTCTTCAGTTCTCACTGACCTTAGAATAAAATCTACTATTCATATTTGGTGATATCTGGCCCTGTGGAACTTTGCTAATTATGAGGAGACAAATAATATGCAGGAGCAGACAAGGTAAATTAATTCTAAGGATATGAACAGCTATAACAACAACACAGGTATCTATGTTTTATTTTTATTTTCTTTAGAGAAAGGGTCTTACTCTGTTACCCAGGCTGGACTGCAGTGGCATGATCATACCTCACTGCAGCCTCAAACTCCTGGACTCCAGTGATTCTCCTCTCAGCCTCCTGAGTAGCTAGGACTAAAAGATGTCACCGCACCTAGCTAATTTTTGTACTTTTTGTAGAGACGGGGTCTCAGTATGTTGCCCAGGCTAGTCTTGAACTCCTGGCCTCAAGGGATCAGTCCATCTTGCTTGCTCAAAGTGCTGGCATTACTGGCGTGAGCCACTGTGCCTGGCTTAGTATCTATCTTTTAAAAGTGGTCCATAAACCCCTGAGCTTGCAGTCTTGGAAACTTCTGGATATCATCTACGGTTAAAGATATTCATATATTTAGAATTCAGACTATGATTCAAAAAATAAGCTACAAGAAAAGTAATTTGAATGCTACACTAGAGTTTTCTTTCTCAATAACTATCACATAGCTATAAACCCATAAAGTAATAAGTCTAGAAAATATTACTGTTTGTATACATTAAGCCAAATATACAGATCCAAGGTATCGAAGTGACCATTCCAGAAACCTTCCACAGAGCATGTCTGAGAAAACCACGAATTTAAAAAAAGGTACTAGTGACACGCTACACATAATTTTTACACATTAGACCACTGCTGGCTGTCGGGGAGTATGTATTATTCAAACAGGGTGCACATTCAGTAATGGAAAGGGTGAGGGGAGATGCTGCCTTTAATTTTAATATGCCTGACATACTGGAAAAAATTATTGGCATCTGTATGTGTGTGACTGAGTGTTTTGTGGAACATGTGTTGTATGCAACACTGTTTATTATCAGTAAATGAAGCCAAAAGCTAAGTTGAAAATGAATGCTAAATTAAAAATTATATAAAATGGAGTGAAATGATTTAATTAACAGATTATAAGTGGAATGTTGCAGTGCAAGAATGAGCTTGGGAGAAAAGAGAAAGAAAAAAATGTGGTTGGGTGGAATCCTGTCTTTTCCCTTTATTTGCTCAGAGATACTAATATAGTCACATGATATTTGCCAGTTTTTAACCACAGCCTCTGTGACAGTCAATAAACTTGCCTAATTAAGCCACCAGTTTGGAGCACAGAGTTTGAAACAAATTGCCTTCTGTTTTAAAGCAAAAGGGAGGAAAAACAAAATACAGTATATTGTCTGAAAAACCTAGCTCCCCATTTCTAAGACCTTAGAAATATATAATTAGGTCTAATCCTCCTGTGTTAGCATCAAACCAGCCTTTCAAAAGTGCTGCAGTTACCTTCAGGAATGAAATGATATTTATATTTATAGACCACCAAGTGTCAAACACTGCCCAGGTACTTTGATATCTGTTATCTCACTGTTTTCTTATGATAACATTGTATGTACGACAATTACAATAACTCTAACTTTAGGGAGGTTATAATATTTGCTAAGGCCACTGCAGAAGGACAAATAAAGCCTGAGAATTAAAACTCAGGCCTCTTGACTCTAAAGCCCATGCTATTTCTTCTTTACCATGTAGCCTCTTCCTAAGATCCCTTAAGAGAGAAGACATGAGTACCCAAATAAAACTGTTTCCCATAGCAAGAGCCATCGTTTTAGAGCTCATTCCAGTGTATGATACCTATCCCTAATTTAGGCAACAAAGAATTTCCTAAAGAAGACAAGATGATTTTCATACATTAGTACTGTTCAAAGTTGAAGTGCATTTAAAATAGTAACTTTTTTTTTTTTTTTTGAGACAGGGTCTTGCTGCTCTGTCACCTCGGCTGGAGTGCAGTGATAGGATCATAGCTTCCTGCAACTTCAAACTCCTCAAGTGATCCAGTGATCCATGATCCTCCTACCTCTATGCCCTCAGTAGTTGGGACTACAGGCATATGCTGCTGCACTTGGCTTTTTTTTTTTTTTTTTTAGAAAGGGGGTCTTGTATCGTTAACCAGGCTGGTCTCAAACTCCTGGCCTCAAGCAATCCTACTGCCTCAGACTCACAAAGTACTGGTATTACAGGCGTGGGTCACCACATCCAGCCTAAAATGGTAACTTTTTCTATCATTTCACATTAATCCAGTTATTCATTGTATGATATCTATTTCTTTTTTTAAAAAAATTCGTTGATATACAGTATTATTAATGGGGAGTACGTGATAATTTGATACATTTATATAATGTGGGAAGATCAAATCAGAGTAATTAGAATGCCTATCACCTGATATATTTATCTTTTCTTTATGTTAAGAACATTTGAATTGTTCTCTTTTGGCTACTGTGAAATGTACAACATACTATTGTTAAGTATAGTTCCCCCACCCCAACCACTGATCTATTAACACTGAGTCTTATTTCTTCTATCTGACTGTATGTATCTATGTATTTTTACACATGGATGTGTAAAGTGAAAAGTCCCAAGTTTGAGACATTTAGTTACACAATTAACATTAAGGAAAAAGAAAAAGGCAAAAGATACAAGATTACTGAATTACAAGAATAAAAATGACTCGATGATACTTTCTATTCAGTGTGCCTAAATGGACATTTTGCAACATGATGCAGTGTTTTAAGATTCAACATACATTTTTTTTTTTCCTGAAAGGGGTAAGAGAAGAGGGGAAGCAAATCAAATCAACACTCTTTTTAAAGTAATCCAGAGATTTTTTTTTAATGCCAAAATTGTGTTGCTTTGCCGACCAAAAAAGGAACTAAAATTTTTTGTAACACCAAACAAACTGTGGAGTTATCCAATTTTTTAGGAATTTAATTTGAGGAAACAGAAATAAATCCAAGTGCTCCACATGGCCATATGTTGTCTGAGCTAGGTAACGTAGAAGTATGCAAATCAATTCAGGAACGTGGTCCCAGTCTCCCTTCTAATGGAGCAAAGGATTCTGACAGAGGGATGAGTCCCAACTATGAGCTGGTGAAACTGCTAAGCAGATGCCGTGAGTTTAGACAGCCAGACAACTGATTTCTCTCCCTGTACTGCGGAAAAAGCGCAAGGCAGCAACTAGGGAAAACAACAGAAGAGTTCAGGCAGGTGAAAATGATGGCATTTTTGGTCTCTAAATTTGGCATCAATTTATTCCCTTTTGTTAACACTCAGCAGTGCTCAGATCCCACCACCACAAAACTAGCCTCAAATAAGGTCCTTCTATTTTCATGGAAGGGCTAGAAGTGTGCAAAGTTTGAAGCCTTTTTCTTTCCCCCACAGGTATGAGTAGTTACTGACACTCTATCATTCTAAAAAAGTCTACTCAATTTGTTCTCTGTATAATGCTGTCTCTCTCTCTCTTTGAGACGGAGTCTCGCTCTGTTGCCCAGGCTGGAGTGCAGTGGTGAGATCTCAGCTCGCTGCAAGCTCCGCCTCCCAGGCTCACTCCATTCTCCTGCCTCAGCCGCCCGAGTAGCTGGGACTACAGACGCCCGCCATCACGCCCCGCTAATTTTTTGTATTTTTAGTAGAGACGGGATTTCACCATGTTAGCCAGGATGGTCTCGATCTCCTGACCTCGTGATCCACCTGCCTCGGCCTCCCAAAGTGCTGAGATTACAGGCATGAGCCACCGCGCCTGGCCTGTATAATGCTCTCTTAATAAGAAAGTCTTTTTTCTTTTTTTCTTTTTTTTTCTTTGAGACAGAGTCTCGCTCTGTCACCCAGGCTGGAGTGCAGTGGCGCGATCTCGGCTCACTGCAACCTCCGCCTCCCAGGTTGACGCCATTCTCCTGCCTCAGCCTTCCGAGTAGCTGGGACTACAGGCGCCCACCACCACATCCGGCTAATTTTTTGTATTTTTAGTAGAGACGGGGTTTCACCATGTTAATCAGGATGGTCTTAATCTCCTGACCTCGTGATCCGCCCGCTTCTGCCTCCCAAAGTGCTGGGATTATAGGCGTGAACCACCGCGCCCGGCCAGAAAGTCTTTTTTCTTTTAAAAAAAAAAAAAAAAATTCTTTTAAATCAGGGAGGGAGGAGGAGTTACAGTAAGACAGAAAGAACAGTAAGAAGACAGAAAGAAAAAGGTTTAAAAGATACACTTTTGATATGTCTGTTTATAAGGGGAAATACATAGGATTTCCTTCCTTCAGCAATGCTAAAATGGTCTGGCATGCCTGAGAGTAAATCGATACTAAGCACGGTCCAGGCGAGACTGCCATCTCACATGAAGCACCGACTGTGAAATAGACACATAAGACACACGATACTCTCCGAGGCTCCCAGCAGCCATAATATTCATCCTTGGCAGTTCATTTGACATTGACTTTCTCTGCTTCCCAATAATGTTTTTCCTACCCTTCCTCCCAATGCCACCCTCCTTTCTCCATAGAGCAATGCTCTAGCTTCCCGAGGCTCACCAAGGAGGTAAAAGATAAGAAACCCCAAGAGACAGGTTTAGCTTGGGAATAAATCCTGTGTTTGCCATGCAACGATGCATACAATGGGAAAATATAAGGATGAGCTTATAAGAACACGAGCTTGGTTCTCAAGGAGCCCAACCAGAAGAGTCTTAAAATGTTACCACATGTGTGTAATGGACACTGGGTTTCCTGATTAGATCTTATCATGGTTATTTCAAATGGCTTCTTTCTTCTACCACTTGCTAACCTTCCCCTCTGCAGAGTGCATACACACACAAAAGAAAAAGACAAAGGACCCTTTCCACTCTGTCTTGGCCCCTTCCAGAAGTATTCTTAGAGCCATGAATCCACAGAGGCTTTTGAATTTAGATAACTTTTATGGTCAAAGCTAAAAACCTTTGCTGGTAATAGGAAATGTCATATGGAATCCACTGGGTAGTCATAATTTCCATTTATAAATAGAAAATATAAAGTGGGTGCCTTATCTGGGTGATTTAATACATGTCTCTGCTTATTACTGTTTTCAAAGTGCCTTTTGCACAAATCTGATTTCAACTGTGCAATAAAGATTCATTATCCTTTTACACAGCAGCCTTTGCATTTCTATGCAGGATCTAATTACGAAAATACGAACTATTCTATAAACAGATGCTAATCGTGAGGAGAAAATGCTTTCATTTTAGAAGGAAGGCATTGCTAAAACTTTACCCAGAAAAGTGCTGCATCTGCATGTAGAAGAAGGAGGTGGGGAAGTGAGAAGGGTTATTCTTGACAAAAGCTATGCAAGTACCCTGGGGAGAAAAGGTCCCCAGCAAATGACTATAAAATTGGGGTGAGAGACAGAATGCACACGGTTTAATTCCTATACCCCAATGTCATTTGTTGTTCCCAGAATTGAATCCATTTTTAAAAATCTTGTCCCTTATTTTCTTGTATTTTCTGTTTTCTTACAATAAGCCCCATTACTTTTATATCATGGTGGAGGGGGGGATTCCAACAAGCAGAACCAGGAAAAAAAATATATTCTTTTTGGAGAAAGAAGCTAAACATTAGTTTGGGGAAATAACTAACAAATGATACTAAAACAGACTGGAGAGACCAACTATAAGAAACACCTTGGGTGCTAGGTTAATTTTTTGTTTCATTAATCGGTTGTAGTAAAGGAGAAATATAAAGCCCCAATTAATATTATTTGTCCTGATCATATTCAACTTCACAGTACTGACACAGGTGGCCATACCAAGCATCCTTGTTTATGAAACACCTTTTTCTCTTTTGCCATGATCCATGCTTGTGTTACATCACTGGCTTCTCCTTCTTCATCTCCTTCACTGGGTCTTCTTCCTTATCAGGATATTATAAATGAGACTCTGTTCTCAGCCCCCTTCTTTATTTATATTCTCTTCCTAGGGAATCCAAACAGCCCCATAGCTTTCAATCCCATATGCTGATGGTTTTCACATTTATACCTCCACGCTGGACATTTTCCCAATCTCCTAGATTCTTTACCTGCCCAGATGACATCTTTTCTTAGCCGTCAATTGGCATTTCTTTCATAACATGTCAAAACAAAATTATTCCCTGCTTCACACCCTCACACCCTATAAATTCTTCCTCATACAACCTTTCCCTATGCCTACACATGATATCAGCCATCCAGCTGCTCAAGCTAAACTCCTGGAAGTCATCCTTGCTTCCTCTTTTTACTTTACATCCCATGTCCAATCCACCTACCTCCTGTCAAATCTCTATCCAAAATATGTCCGAATGCAACCACTTTACATTTCACTGCTACAATCCTAGTCTTAAACTACCACCATCTCTCTTGGCCCATGCAAGGTGATCTAGTTTCTACACTTGGGAGCATATTCTCCACACAACAGTCACAGTGTTTTTCCAGAGTAAAACTCAGTTTGCATCACTCTCCAGGTTAATCCACTGCAACTAGATTTAGAACTAAGTTCCGTATAACATACATTTTACCCACAGCCTTCAAAAGGCTCTGCATGACTCATCTTCCTTTATCTCTCCTCTCTTGCTTTGAACACCAAATTCCAGCCACACCGGCCTTTTTCCTGTCCCTTGAACACACCAAGATTGTTAGTGTATCAGGGACTTTGTACTTCTTCTTTCTTCTGCTTGGAACACTTGCATCTCCTCCCAACAACCTGCAAAAGGCCTCCCCTTAACTCACATCCTCACCACCCATCTCTATCACGTTAGCCTAGGTTATCTTCTCCATAGCCTCACAAGTATCTGAATTAATCATTTCCTTCTTTATGAGTTATCTATTTTCTTACCCTGGAATGTTACGTCTTTGACAGCAAGGCTTCTGTTCTTGTTCAGCACTATATTCACAGCAAAAAAGAACAATGCCTGGCTCAGAGTAGATGCTTAATATAAATTTTTTTTAACTGACCAACTTTTAGCTAACCCAAATTTGCCCACAACACACAAAGGATGACATGCAATTACTCTAAAAGTCCTTGGAATACTGCAACCCTAAAATGCTGAAATGTCATGAAAGCCTTAAAGACTATCCCATAATTTTCAGTTTATTTCCAGTTATTTAATAACATAGTGATGTCATGGGGTCATCAAAGGCATTTCCTAACTTGCTCCTTCAAGTTGCTAGTCACGCTGCATAGCAGAAATGTTAAAATGATTAAGTGAAGTAGTTTATTTTGAATACACCATGTGTGTGACTTTTTAAAGAAAGTTTGCCTTAAGCCAATTAATGATATTAATGACCACTCCTTAAATACCTTCTTACTTGTTTTGAAATTTCATGTTAGGATTTCTTAAGTCAAAGATGTGTAGAAAGCAGATACAATACATATGAAAATACACACACTCCTTTTTTCTATTATAAAGATAATTTTTTGTTGGTTTTTTTTTTTTTTTTTTTTTTTGAGATGGAGTTTCACTCTTGTTGCCCAGGCTGGAGTGCAATGGCGCAATCTCGACTCCCTACAACCTCTGCCTCCTGGGTTCAAGCGATTCTCCTGCCTCAGCCTCCCAAGTATCTGGGATTACAGGCATGCACCACCATGCCCGGCTAATTTTTTATATTTAGTAGAGATGGGGTTTCACCATGTTGGTCAGGCTGGTCTCAAACCCTTGAGCTCAGGTGATCCACCCTCCTCGGCCTCCCAAAGTGCTGGGAATACAGGCGTGAGCCACCATGCCCAGCCGGTAATGTAATAATAGATCATATATTCCAGGCAGCAGTGCTAAATACTTTACATGCATAATCTAACTGAATTCTCAAACATTCCTATAAGGTATGGACCACTCATATTTCCGTATTACATTCAGACAATTGAGGTTTATAAAGGCTAAGTATCACAAAGTTACACAACCAGTAAATGATGAAGCAAGAATTTGAATCCTCAATGGTCTGATTCTAAAGCCTGTATTCTTACTCCTGCATAATACTGTATCTCAAATGATTATAGTACATTATAAATTTCTTTTCTTCTAATTCTTCATACATTTTTTTCAAATCAAATCCTACCAAGATAACCAAGGAAAACAGTTTAGTGCAGATAACAGTTTATTCTTTCAAACAAGTCTAGGTTTGCTAAATGTCTATATATCCAAAGGATTCTGAATGGACAGTGTGAGAAGAGACTGGTAATTATTACTAGTACATAAAGTAGGGCCCACCCAATGTAAGCATAGAGATTTATGTGTGTCCAGGTCTGCTCTTAGGTCATTACCCTATAGAAAGTCCAAAGTAACCCTTGCTTCAACACACCTAAGTAAGATATCTGACTCCTGGTAAAATATTAGTGATGGAATGCAATGCAATAAACCTTATTTGAAGGACCTTAAAAGAACAAAGCCTTCACTAATGACATTTTAATGAGGAAATGCATATGCTAATTACTGTATTCTTCTAGCTAGTCTATAAAAAGCCTATGCCAAAGTAATGTAAGTATCTGCTGATTCAGACTTTACTGAAAAAGGTTTAGTTTTATATTTTCAATCATTGGGTAAAACAAAGGAAAAAAAAATAAGGAAAAAAATCCACCTTAAGTCCCAGATCTAGCTTGCTATCTGAGGAGGAGAAGATTAACAGGGAGCACTCAGAATACAACAAATGTTTTTCCAATGAGTATTTACCCAAGTCCCAGATCAATTGTTTAGCAGTACATAAATCTGATATAACCACTTGGCTAATGAAACATCAACACTACCTGATAGTACTACATTTTGAGGCAAGGAACAGTGTAGGCCCAGGGAACAGACAAGACTGCCAATACATGGCAGTTGTATCCTAAGTGTGTATTCACATATATGACCTCATTTCATCCTTGAGACATCCTTGTAGGTGGGTGGCAGGAAGGACACTGGCTAATAAACATTAGTGAAAGTTAAAAACATCCCAGGTTACTTAAGAGGCTGAAATTCCATAGATTTTGTGGAATTTTAAATCATTTTTTTCTCATTAGAATTTCATTTGTCCCCTTTCTCTCAACACTCAATTATCTATACTTATGGAAGGAAACAGATGTAACAATAAAGTAAAATGCTAGGAAAAAAAAACAAAAAACAGATAGAAAAGGTCTGTCTCTCCATGTCTCCACGTATCTCTAGTATCTCCTTCCATGCCTGCCCTGACCCTTTCCTGGTTTAACCTCATCACCATACATAGATACACAAGAAAGCCTCCACTTTCAAGCTGTAAAATGTTTTTAGGAACTCTTATTAGAAAGTGTTGATGAAAAAACAGACTTAACATGAGCTAGTGTGCATTAACGGAGGGGGACAGGGAATAACACAGGATAGAGGAGGGAAGAGAACAGTTCTAATGCCACTTAATTAGCCATATGTCCTACAACAAGTTATTTAACCTCACAGATCCCAGTTTTCTCCTCTGCAAATTAGGAACTTGAAACAGATGGCCTTTTATTCTGAATCTAATCCTCTATAATTCTGACTCTAGCATACATTCAGTTCAAGATAAGACTTATTCTTTAAGGGCTAGCTTAACTGCTACCTCCTCTAAGAAGTCTTCCCTGATAAAGCCACGGGAACCAAGTTTTCCCTCCTCTTAAAGCTTATGCTACCATGTTGGTACCACTCTGTAATGATCAAGAGCACTGGTCAAAGGCCTTAGTTTAAAACCTCACTACTTGTTAACTGTGTGACCTTAGGTCAATTACAGTCTCGCTTTGCTTAACAATGGGCATACGTTCTGAGAAATGTATTGTTAAGTGATCTCGTTGCTGTGCAAACTTCATAGAGTATACTTACAAAAACCTAGATTGTACAGTCTGCTATACACCTAGGCTCTATGGTATAGCCTATTGCTCCTAGGCTACAAACCTCTACAGCATGTTACTGTACTGAATAGCATAGTTGCCTATGTAGTACAGTACTGTAACATAATGGCAAGTATTTGTGTGTCTAAATACAGAAAAGTACTGTAAAAATATGTTATTATAATTTATTGGATCTCCACTATATATGTGGTCTGTTGTTGACTGACACGTTGTTATATGGTGCATGACTGCATTTGCCCTATCTGACCTCAGTTTCATAAGTTGTCAAACAGAGATAATAATAGATTGGTGGGACTATTAAAGGATTAAGTGATTGCAGCTACTCAGGAGACAGAGGCAGGAGGGTCACCTGAGGCTAAGAGTTCAAGACCAGCCTGGGCAATACAGTGAGATCCCATGTCTACAAAAAATAAAAAAATAAAAATTAGCCAGGCACAAATGGTGCATTCCTGAAGTCCCAGCTTCTTGGGAGGCTGAGGCAGGAAGATCCATTCACTCTGGGTTTGAGGTTGCAGTGGGCTATGATCATGCCACTGCACTCCAGCCTGGGTGACACAGCAAGACCCTGTTTTAAAAACCCAACCAAACCAAACAAAACAATGCAGATACTTCTTAGTATCTGCTGTGAATTCAGTGGTAAACCAAAGTGATGGACACAGTCACCAAACTCAAATAACCTTTTTTTTTCCCTATAGACCAAAATAAAATTTTAAAGTATTAGTCTTGCTCTCTGTAAGTTTAGAATACTTAAAATAATGAAACCCATAGATAGCAGAATATGGAAACAGAATTACTATGGTTTGGACGTGTGGATGTTTTATTCCCCTAGACCATGAGGATAATACTTAATCTCTAAGATCAGGAAAATTTCATATATCAGTTCAACATTTATTGGTTACCAGGTGCTTATGATAGGCCCTTGGGATACAATGATAAACAGAAGGTTCCTGCCTTTCAAGGGTATGCATTACAGTGGGGGAAAAACAATTAACTTACAGGAATTCTAAGGGAATTACAACCTTTAGACTTAAGATTTCCTTAACTAACTACAAATCTATCCTGCTGTATATACAGGGCCTCTTATTGAGCTATAGAGCACCCTGTTAATTCTGAGAAATCTCTATCTCCCATTCTCCCCACCCCCCGACAAAACATATTTTCTCTGTCTCTTTCAATCAAAGCTGAATAATGCAAAATGGATTACTATGTTAAAGGCTGACTCAATTAATTCATTTATTTCACAAATTTTAAAGAAAAATGACTTCTTTGGGAAGAAAGACCATGTTTCTACATCCCTGTACTTCTACTGTGAACATCTAGGCAAACTACCTGATATTAACAATGTGGGAACACAGCAGTGAGAACTCTGGTTAAAATACTGAATATATATTTCCCCTAAAGATATACAACAATGTATTTATATCCTTTTGAAAATATGAATGAGGCAACACATTCCTTGTTCAAATGGCAACAAATTCCTCTTAGATTATGGGGTCTGGGTACCACTATCTTACATCACTGGTATGAATTATTAGGAAAATAAAAACATAAAAGAGGGAAAATAACTGATGTTATTTTAAAATGTTGTGTATATGTGTGTGGACATACACGTATATACAAAAATGCTCAAACAACTAACATTTATACAGTGTCTTTTTTTTTTTTTTTTAAGGCTTAAAAATTTTTTTAATAGCCAATCATTCATTTATTTTCAAAACATAATTCTCGATCACGTGCACACTCCCTTCTTCTCTCTACAAATACATTAGTTCAGAAATAACTTAAATATTTCCTTGACATTCACAATCTAGTTTTTAGCACTGAAAATCAAAGGGATACAAATGAATTTTAAATTTTTATTTGGGGAGTTGTTATAAGACTAAGCTATATTCAAATATCAATCATTAAAACTAGTGAGGCCACTCACTATACCACCATACTTTTCATAAATCTCCTTTGATGAATAAATTCTACTTCCTTACAAAAGAAGACTCTGTTTAAAAAAGGTACCAACTTTTCTATATATCCCCCTACTTTATTCTGGAAATGTCTTTTGCTTCTTAAAGTAATTGTTAGATTTTTTAAGCCAGAAATCTGTTAGTCCTAATTATGAATTATTTTAATGTCAAATATGCATATGGTTAATCAATAGTTTTCTTTATCATAGATTCAAAATTTTAAGCTTATTTTCCTTCCATTCTTTAGGCATTCAACACGTTAATGAAAAGTACAATGTCAGTCTACTTCTCATTCTTTTATCCGTAAACTTCTTTTTTTTTTTTTTTTTTATTATACTCTAAGTTTTAGGGTACATGTGCACATTGTGCAGGTTAGTTACATATGTATACATGTGCCATGCTGGTGCGCTGCACCCACTAATGTGTCATCTAGCATTAGGTATATCTCCCAATGCTATCCCTCCCCCCTCCCCCGACCCCACCACAGTCCCCAGAGTGTGATATTCCCCTTCCTGTGTCCATGTGATCTCATTGTTCAATTCCCACCTATGAGTGAGAATATGCGGTGTTTGGTTTTTTGTTCTTGCGATAGTTTACTGAGAGATGGTTTCCAATTTCATCCATGTCCCTACAAAGGATATGAACTCATCATTTTTTATGGCTGCATAGTATTCCATGGTGTATATGTGCCACATTTTCTTAATCCAGTCTATCATTGTTGGACATTTGGGTTGGTTCCAAGTCTTTGCTATTGTGAATAGTGCCGCAATAAACATATGTGTGCATGTGTCTTTATAGCAGCATGATTTATACTCATTTGGGTATATACCCAGTAATGGGATGGCTGGGTCAAATGGTATTTCTAGTTCTAGATCCCTGAGGAATCGCCACACTGACTTCCACAATGGTTGAACTAGTTTACAGTCCCACCAACAGTGTAAAAGTGTTCCTATTTCTCCGCATCCTCTCCAGCACCTGTTGTTTCCTGACTTTTTAATGATTGCCATTCTAACTGGTGTGAGATGATATCTCATAGTGGTTTTGATTTGCATTTCTCTGATGGCCAGTGATGATGAGCATTTCTTCATGTGTTTTTTGGCTGCATAAATGTCTTCTTTTGAGAAGTGTCTGTTCATGTCCTTCGCCCACTTTTTGATGGGGTTGTTTGTTTTTTTCTTGTAAATTTGTTTGAGTTCATTGTAGATTCTGGATATTAGCCCTTTGTCAGATGAGTAGGTTGCGAAAATTTTCTCCCATGTTGTAGGTTGCCTGTTCACTCTGATGGTAGTTTCTTTTGCTGTGCAGAAGCTCTTTAGTTTAATTAGATCCCATTTGTCAATTTTGTCTTTTGTTGCCATTGCTTTTGGTGTTTTGGACATGAAGTCCTTGCCCACGCCTATGTCCTGAATGGTAATGCCTAGGTTTTCTTCTAGGGTTTTTATGGTTTTAGGTTTAACGTTTAAATCTTTAATCCATCTTGAATTGATTTTTGTATAAGGTGTAAGGAAGGGATCCAGTTTCAGCTTTCTACATATGGCTAGCCAGTTTTCCCAGCACCATTTATTAAATAGGGAATCCTTTCCCCATTGCTTGTTTTTCTCAGGTTTGTCAAAGATCAGATAGTTGTAGATATGCGGCATTATTTCTGAGGGCTCTGTTCTGTTCCATTGATCTATGTCTCTGTTTTGGTACCAGTACCATGCTGTTTTGGTTACTGTAGCCTTGTAGTATAGTTTGAAGTCAGGTAGTGTGATGCCTCCAGCTTTGTTCTTTTGGCTTAGGATTGACTTGGCAATGCGGGCTCTTTTTTGGTTCCATATGAACTTTAAAGTAGTTTTTTCCAATTCTGTGAAGAAAGTCATTGGTAGCTTGATGGGGATGGCATTGAATCTGTAAATTACCTTGGGCAGTATGGCCATTTTCACGATATTGATTCTTCCTACCCATGAGCATGGAATGTTCTTCCATTTGTTTGTGTCCTCTTTTATTTCCTTGAGCAGTGGTTTGTAGTTCTCCTTGAAGAGGTCCTTCACATCCCTTGTAAGTTGGATTCCTAGGTATTTTATTCTCTTTGAAGCAATTGTGAATGGGAGTTCACCCATGATTTGGCTCTCTGTTTGTCTGTTGTTGGTGTATAAGAATGCTTGTGATTTTTGTACATTGATTTTGTATCCTGAGACTTTGCTGAAGTTGCTTATCAGCTTAAGGAGATTTTGGGCTGAGACGATGGGGTTTTCTAGATAAACAATCATGTCGTCTGCAAACAGGGACAATTTGACTTCCTCTTTTCCTAATTGAATACCCTTTATTTCCTTCTCCTGCCTGATTGCCCTGGCCAGAACTTCCAACACTATGTTGAATAGGAGCGGTGAGAGAGGGCATCCCTGTCTTGTGCCAGTTTTCAAAGGGAATGCTTCCAGTTTTTGCCCATTCAGTATGATATTGGCTGTGGGTTTGTCATAGATAGCTCTTATTATTTTGAAATACATCCCATCAATACCTAATTTATTGAGAGTTTTTAGCATGAAGGGTTGTTGAATTTTGTCAAAGGCTTTTTCTGCATCTATTGAGATAATCATGTGGTTTTTGTCTTTGGCTCTGTTTATATGCTGGATTACATTTATTGATTTGCGTATATTGAACCAGCCTTGCATCCCAGGGATGAAGCCCACTTGATCATGGTGGATAAGCTTTTTGATGTGCTGCTGGATTCGGTTTGCCAGTATTTTATTGAGGATTTTTGCATCAATGTTCATCAAGGATATTGGTCTAAAATTCTCTTTTTTGGTTGTGTCTCTGCCCGGCTTTGGTATCAGAATGATGCTGGCCTCATAAAATGAGTTAGGGAGGATTCCCTCTTTTTCTATTGATTGGAATAGTTTCAGAAGGAATGGTACCAGTTCCTCCTTGTACCTCTGGTAGAATTCGGCTGTGAATCCATCTGGTCCTGGACTCTTTTTGGTTGGTAAACTATTGATTATTGCCACAATTTCAGAGCCTGTTATTGGTCTATTCAGAGATTCAACTTCTTCCTGGTTTAGTCTTGGGAGAGTGTATGTGTCGAGGAATGTATCCATTTCTTCTAGATTTTCTAGTTTATTTGCGTAGAGGTGTTTGTAGTATTCTCTGATGGTAGTTTGTATTTCTGTGGGATCGGTGGTGATATCCCCTTTATCATTTTTTATTGTGTCTATTTGATTCTTCTCTCTTTTTTTCTTTATTAGTCTTGCTAGCGGTCTATCAATTTTGTTGATCCTTTCAAAAAACCAGCTCCTGGATTCATTGAGTTTTTGAAGGGTTTTTTGTGTCTCTATTTCCTTCAGTTCTGCTCTGATTTTAGTTATTTCTTGCCTTCTGCTAGCTTTTGAATGTGTTTGCTCTTGCTTTTCTAGTTCTTTTAATTGTGATGTTAGGGTGTCAATTTTGGATCTTTCCTGCTTTCTCTTGTAGGCATTTAGTGCTATAAATTTCCCTCTACACACTGCTTTGAATGCATCCCAGAGATTCTGGTATGTGGTGTCTTTGTTCTCGTTGGTTTCAAAGAATATCTTTATTTCTGCCTTCATTTCGTTATGTACCCAGTAGTCATTCAGGAGCAGGTTGTTCAGTTTCCATGTAGTTGAGCGGCTTTGAGTGAGATTCTTAATCCTGAGTTCTAGTTTGATTGCACTGTGGTCTGAGAGATAGTTTGTTATAATTTCTGTTCTTTTACATTTGCTGAGGAGAGCTTTACTTCCAAGTATGTGGTCAATTTTGGAATAGGTGTGGTGTGGTGCTGAAAAAAATGTATATTCTGTTGATTTGGGGTGGAGAGTTCTGTAGATGTCTATTAGGTCTGCTTGGTGCAGAGCTGAGTTCAATTCCTGGGTATCCTTGTTGACTTTCTGTCTCGTTGATCTGTCTAATGTTGACAGTGGGGTGTTAAAGTCTCCCATTATTAATGTGTGGGAGTCTAAGTCTCTTTGTAGGTCACTGAGGACTTGCTTTATGAATCTGGGTGCTCCTGTATTGGGTGCATAAATATTTAGGATAGTTAGCTCCTCTTGTTGAATTGATCCCTTTACCATTATGTAATGGCCTTCTTTGTCTCTTTTGATCTTTGTTGGTTTAAAGTCTGTTTTATCAGAGACTAGGATTGCAACCCCTGCCTTTTTTTGTTTTCCATTGGCTTGGTAGATCTTCCTCCATCCTTTTATTTTGAGCCTATGTGTGTCTCTGCACGTGAGATGGGTTTCCTGAATACAGCACACTGATGGGTCTTGACTCTTTATCCAACTTGCCAGTCTGTGTCTTTTAATTGCAGAATTTAGTCCATTTATATTTAAAGTTAATATTGTTATGTGTGAATTTGATCCTGTCATTATGATGTTAGCTGGTGATTTTGCTCATTAGTTGATGCAGTTTCTTCCTAGTCTCGATGGTCTTTACATTTTGGCATGATTTTGCAGCGGCTGGTACCGGTTGTTCCTTTCCATGTTTAGCGCTTCCTTCAGGAGCTCTTTTAGGGCAGGCCTGGTGGTGACAAAATCTCTCAGCATTTGCTTGTCTATAAAGTATTTTATTTCTCCTTCACTTATGAAGCTTAGTTTGGCTGGATATGAAATTCTGGGTTGAAAATTCTTTTCTTTAAGAATGTTGAATATTGGCCCCCACTCTCTTCTGGCTTGTAGGGTTTCTGCCGAGAGATCCGCTGTTAGTCTGATGGGCTTTCCTTTGAGGGTAACCCGACCTTTCTCTCTGGTTGCCCTTAACATTTTTTCCTTCATTTCAACTTTGGTGAATCTGACAATTATGTGTCTTGGAGTTGCTCTTCTCGAGGAGTATCTTTGTGGTGTTCTCTGTATTTCCTGAATCTGAACGTTGGCCTGCCTTGCTAGATTGGGGAAGTTCTCCTGGATAATATCCTGCAGAGTGTTTTCCAACTTGGTTCCATTCTCCACATCACTTTCAGGTACACCAATCAGACGTAGATTTGGTCTTTTCACATAGTCCCATATTTCTTGGAGGCTTTGCTCATTTCTTTTTATTCTTTTTTCTCTAAACTTCCCTTCTCGCTTCATTTCATTCATTTCATCTTCCATTGCTGATACCCTTTCTTCCAGTTGATCGCATCGGCTCCTGAGGCTTCTGCATTCTTCACTTAGTTCTCGAGCCTTGGTTTTCAGCTCCATCAGCTCCTTTAAGCACTTCTCTGTATTGGTTATTCTAGTTATACATTCTTCTAAATTTTTTTCAAAGTTTTCAACTTCTTTGCCTTTGGTTTGAATGTTATCCCGTAGCTCAGAGTAATTTGATCGTCTGAAGCCTTCTTCTCTCAGCTTGTCAAAATCATTCTCCATCCAGCTTTGTTCTGTTGCTGGTGAGGAACTGCGTTCCTTTGGAGGAGGAGAGGCGCTCTGCGTTTTAGAGTTTCCAGTTTTTCTGTTCTGTTTTTTCCCCATCTTTGTGGTTTTATCTATTTTGGTCTTTGATGATGGTGATGTACAGATGGGTTTTCGGTGTAGATGTCCTTTCTGGTTGTTAGTTTTCCTTCTAACAGACAGGACCCTCAGCTGCAGGTCTGTTGGAATACCCTGCCGTGTGAGGTGTCAGTGTGCCCCTGCTGGGGGGTGCCTCCCAGTTAGGCTGCTCGGGGGTCAGGGGTCAGGGACCCACTTGAGGAGGCAGTCTGCCCGTTCTCAGATCTCCAGCTGCGTGCTGGGAGAACCACTGCTCTCTTCAAAGCTGTCAGACAGGGACACTTAAGTCTGCAGAGGTTACTGCTGTCTTTTTGTTTGTCTGTGCCCTGCCCCCAGAGGTGGAGCCTACAGAGGCAGGCAGGCCTCCTTGAGCTGTGGTGGGCTCCACCCAGTTCGAGCTTCCCGGCTGCTTTGTTTACCTAAGCAAGCCTGGGCAATGGCGGGCGCCCCTCCCCCAGCCTCGTTGCCGCCTTGCAGTTTGATCTCAGACTGCTGTGCTAGCAATCAGCGAGATTCCGTGGGCGTAGGACCCTCTGAGCCAGGTGTGGGATATAGTCTCGTGGTGCGCCGTTTCTTAAGCCGGTCTGAAAAGCGCAATATTCGGGTGGGAGTGACCCGATTTTCCAGGTGCGTCCGTCACCCCTTTCTTTGACTCGGAAAGGGAACTCCCTGACCCCTTGCGCTTCCCAGGTGAGGCAATGCCTCGCCCTGCTTCGGCTCGCGCACGGTGCGCACACACACTGGCCTGCGCCCACTGTCTGGCACTCCCTAGTGAGATGAACCCGGTACCTCAGATGGAAATGCAGAAATCACCCGTCTTCTGCGTCGCTCACGCTGGGAGCTGTAGACCGGAGCTGTTCCTATTCGGCCATCTTGGCTCCTCCTCCATCCGTAAACTTCTTTCCAGTGTCTTTAGAAGTACAAAATGGGTGTGTGTGTGTGTGTGTGTGTGTGGACTAAGAATTTTGGCAACTATTTAGTCTAGTTCCCTCATTTTACTGAGAAAATTGATGTTCAAAGTAGAGGCTTAGTTGTTGTTCAAGAGCCAACAGCTACAAGGTGGCAGATACAGAAATGAGCACAATTTCTGACTCCAAAAAGTAGGGCCTTTTACCACATGTCGCAAATGTATATAAGAGAATGTATATGTATACACACAAACACAAAGTGCCTGAATAGCTAAATGTGTGGCACAAAGAAAAGTTATTAATAAACAGTAGTAATGCTATTTCTCTTTCTTCTTCATATTTAGCCAAACTATCATTACATACACTAAGTGTAAAGAAGACAACCGCTCAAAACCTTTTTCTTAAGAGAGAACAACAATTATCTGAACCTTGAACTTGCTATAGATATACCTTTTCTTACTTCACAAGTTCTACAGGCAACTGACCATTAATAGTACCAAAACTAGTGAGCCTACCCTCAACCAGTGTCCACAATGTGCACAAAAGTTTGCCTATCAGTAAATCTCAGTGGGAAAAGTCAGTCTAGTTCACACTGTTCGTGAATTTCAGCTTATCCTTTGAAATGAAAATATCCAGGAATAATGTTTTATTTAAGAACCTAATTTCATACACATCAGTGCATTAAAACATGTCCCTATAGATGCTGCCATTACTGATCAAATCTGAGTTATTTTTATTCAGTTGCTGCAACCATATATCCAGACGCCTAGAGAAGAACATGGCATGAGGGGGTTCCAAGTGACATGCTCTGAATCCTTCCTGTGCCAGACAAAATTTAATTATCTCCATTGTTTGTGTTATTCAAAATATATTCACAGTCCATCTACTCAGCAAGAAATTCCCTTCTATTTTATTCGGTATAGCTTTTATGCTAAAAGAAGGGAGGGAAAGCTGTAGCTCCCTCACCCATTCCCCACAAGGAGATATGAGGCTGCTGAAGCCCAGTTGATTTCCCAAGCCCAATTATTTCATTGTGTACTATCCTCTTCAACAGCACACTTTACCCAGGGACACAGTCTGCCTAAACACCACACACTTAATGGAGTCCCAAAGCTGTCTCAATTTCATTGCTTCTAACTAATAGGCTGTGATACTTTTTCCCCAAACAGATCAGACCTCTTCTCTCACTCCACAATTTCCTCCTACAGGATAAAAAGGGGAGGGGGGAGCTACTCTGATGAAAGAGACAAAGTATAAATTCCTGCTGCCATACCTTCATTACTGCCCAATACCTGCCTTTCTTATGGGCACAGCAACATCATTTAATCCAGTATAGGAGCTTCTTTTCTCCAGATAATGACAATAATAGGTGTTTCGTTATTACTCTGAGTAGTAACATGGAAGAGCAGGAATCTACACATTTTGTAGTAGTTAACAGGCAGACGAATCAAGGTTTCCTTTCCTTGAAAGAATTCCGAAATTGATTGCCCAGAGAGTATTTTAGGATTGAGAGAGAAAGGAAGGAAGCGATAGGAAAATGATGATTTCTTTAAACTCTTAAGTCTTTGGAATATGTTGCTACCAAAGATAAATGTCTCCCATTGTCTTCTACTATTCAGAGCAGATTTAGAATTCTTTTGGTTTTGTTTTGTTCTTTGAGACAGAATTTCACTGTGTCGTGCAGGCTGGAGTGCAGCGGCACAATCTCGGGTCACTGCAACCTCTGCCTCCCAAGTTCAAGCGATTTTTGTGCCTCAGCTTCCCAAGTAGCCGGGACTACTGATACACAGCACAGTGCCCGACTAATTTTCTTTTGTATTTTTAGTAGAGACAGGGTTTCACCATGTTGGCCAGGCTGGTCTTGAACTCCTGACCTCAAGGGATATGCCCACCTCAGCCTCCCAAAGTGCTGGGATTACAGGCGTGAGCCACCGTGCCTGTCCAGATTCAGTATTCATATTAACAGCTCACTCCCTATTCTGATTTGGGTTTATATCTTGGAAAAGAATATGATTTCCAGGGGTAGGTGTCATATCAAAGGCACAACTTTACCTTCCTACAGACAGACATAATTTGTGACAGATCTTTTTCTTAATCCTTAGCACTTATGTTAATAGTTGTGTCTTACTGAAGCTTTCCTATTCAATAATTTAAGCATATTGAGGAAGGACCGTCAGGAAAAGAGACTTCTTGTTTTTCAAAACTGATTTCTTAAAAATATTATGTATATTTTAAGATGGCGTTTCTGCCATCTTCCAGAGCCATATCCAAGTGGAGATTTCAAGAAAAGGTAGAAATATTGAGAAAGCCAGGCCCAAAGACATGCTGAAGAAATATTATAGGTACTTCTGAAATGTGATGCCTCCCTGTCCCCCAGGGACAATTTCTGTGCTGTCTGAGATAACACCTCTTATATAATGTGGGAAAGAATCAAAGCAGTTAATCCAAATAGTTCCCAAACCCTGCTAGAACTCACCAGCTCTCTTCTTAAGGCAAGACACAACAGTAACATTTAATTACATTTGACATTTAGCTTCAGATTCCATAAGTCATCCTAAATTATCTTTTGGGTCAAAACAGATGTAAATTCACCCACTGAAGACAGTTATTATTATCTTCAAAGTTAAAACCCCTGACTGCTTGGGATGGGAGAGATAGCAAACACGTAATAAGCTCTAAAAAGCATCATCACTGTCCTTCAAGGAAACATGGCTCTACTCCTTCATCTTCACCCTTGCCTAGAATTAATGTGACCACTCTAACTCTGGCCAATACTCCTGGACAAGCATGTAAGTTATGGTTAGTCCAGAAAGTATCTAAACTGGATTGTAGAAAAGAAAGACAATGGAGGTAGTCCTCTGGTCAAACTTTTTTTATTTTTTATTTATTTATTTATTTTTGAGACAGGGTCTCGCTCTGTCGCCCAGGTTAGAGTGCAGTGCCACTCTCGGTTCACTGCCACCTCTGCCTCCCAGGTTCAAGTGATTCTCTTGCCTCAGCCTCCTGAGTAGCTGGAATTACAGGTGTCTGTCACCACATCCAGCTAATTTTTGTATTTTTAGTAGAGACAGGGTTTCACCATGTTGGCCAGGCTGGTCTCAAATGCCTGACCTAAAGAGATCTACCCATCTTGACCTCCCAAAGTGCTGGGATTACAGGCGTGAGCCACCGCACCCAACCCTGGCCAAACGTTATGCTTACATTTGCCCAGTTATAAACTAACACGCAGCACTTTCCAGATCCAAGAGATGGTCTCCTTTATCATCTTTTCATGGCACAATCACAGATTTTGGTAAATCAGGAATAAAAGAGAAGAAAGTGCTTTGAATATTAAATATAGATATGAAGAAGCCTAGAACTAACTGAATTCATTATGCTAAATTCATTATTCATTGAGAAGGGAGAAATCATAAGAATATACAGGAAAATAATAAAAGATTATTAAAGTAAATTCTAGATTAGGTCTGAGATTTAAATAACACTGACAGTAGGTTACACGAATCACTGCACTTTCTTCCCCAGAGGCAAACCTATCTGAAACAGTCAGGAGCTGGCGCAGGTCTGCTTTATCATGTTAGAAAATTATGTTGGATGAGTTAAATCTGAACAGTGCCCTCTACAGGGATTAACATTTCTTTACAATCTTTTTCCTATTGCTGGACATCTTTGTCTTGTTGCTGCAAAAATCATCATCCTTGTAAAAGGCTCTTCATTTAGGCGCTGAAATCAGACGAGGTGTCCTTAAACATCTGCCACATTGCTCATGAGCTATGTAACTTTAGGTGAGTTACTTTACTTTACGTCTCTAAACCTCAAGATTTCTACCCGTAAAATGAGGATACTATGTAGAAGGCAGGGGTCTCTTTTAATGCAAAATAGCATGTGCTTGGCACAGAGCAAGATCTTACTCAGTTTTAGCTTCTAGCAGTATTCCTGTTTTAAGATACAAATCTATTTGCATTTTTACTTCATTGACTTATAATAATTTCCCATTAGTGTCTTCAAAAGCCGTTTCTTTTCCCTCATTAAGCCTGATAAGGTACAAATGCATACGTTTAGATAATGCCACTACCAAGAAAGGCTCAGAGTTGTGTAGGTTTTTGGCCTTGTCAAGGTAGGTTGCCATCAGAGTTCAAGGACCACAGAAATAGTACAACAGAACCTCTAGACACAGCCATACTTGGTCCAGATGGAAGACAAAGGTAGTGGAATGCCATCTATGATTACAATTATGAACTAAAAGAATCCCACTGGTTGATTACATTTTTACCATGTGGTTTTCTTCTCTTCTCTCTTCGCACATACTGGCTTTCTCTGATTGACTATAACTAGTATCTACCTAATGGTTGTTTTTCTAGGGTTCTAGTCATGCTTGCTTTTTGCCAGAACTCACACAGAAGTAAGATACAACAAATGCAAGGAGGCTCCCTTTATCATTTTGACTCCCCCCGTCCATGTCATTTGCTCCTTAAATGAGCATTCCATCTGCCCAAATTCCATTCGAAGCATCAGCAGTCTCAGTGGAGGTGGTTTCTTCAGAGTTCCTTTATGCCATGTCTTTAGCTTTCAGATCATTGCAATGTGATGTGTTCAGACTAATAAGGATTAACCCCTGTCTTCCACTGATAACTGAGAAAGTGAGAGTTTACACAGGCTAAGGTGACCAGCACTGTAGCCTCGGACAGTCTCACATTCTTCTCTGCAAGCATGATGGACTGTGTGGCAGTTCTTAACCTACTTACTTATTTCATGCTCTGGCCCCCTCTCAGCTTCTCATTTTAAGTTGTGTTAAGTTGGTAGTGCTTTGCAATTAGCAAACTACTTACTATTAAATACAGACTTGTTTGCTCCACATATCAGAAGTGACTTAAAAGGAAAACCGTAAAACTTTCGTTTCATTTGGCAAATTTAAAGCAACAAACTCAAAATCAATATTGTATTTGTCAGAATTAGAGGGCCCACACTAAATTCATGAATTTCCTAGAAAGTTTTATAAGAAACAGGGATTTTTTTCCCCCTGTGGTGGCAAAAGTACAATCAATAAATAAAAGAGACTGTCTTTCTAAGGGAAGGAAAGGAAGGTACACAACATTTTTAGCACCTACTATAAATTCTGTGATAGGGTACTTTCACCATTATTCCAGTGAATCTTCTCAAGATCACATTGAAGAAGGTATTACTGGTCCCATTTTTATAGTGAGAGTAACTGAGATTCAATCAAGTTAAGTGATTTGCCTAAAACTACAGAGGTAAAACAAGGAGTTAGGTTTCAAAATCCAGGCATTTAAACCAAGTGACTACTTTTCTCTTTTCTTTTTTTTTTTCTTTCTCCCCTGCCTCAGCCTCCTGAATAGCTGGGATTATAGGCACCCACCACCACGCCTAGCTAATTTTTTTTTTTGTATTTTTAGTAGAGACAGGATTTTACCATGTTAGCCAGGCTGGTTTTAAACTCCTAACCCCAAGTGATCCACCCACCTCGGCCTCCCAAAGTGCTAGGATTACAGTTGTGAGCCACCGGGCCTGGCCTTTTTTGTCTTTTCTTATACAAAACTATTGTCCATGTAAAATCAGAGCAATTAAAATGGTTACAAACAATCTGTTGCATTTATTCACATGGGGACAAGAACATATCGTAGCATAAAAATTTGAACAAATCTGTTAATCATCTTCTGACTGTATTATGAATTTCAAACCTGATAAAGCAAGTCACTTTATGCAGTACGCACATTCCTGCAATGCATGACTATGAAATAAGACATGAAAGTTGATAATTTGATGTATAAACAAAAATTTGGTCTTGTATTACCAGTTTTCCCATCATTAAGAAATAAGTGGGCTGGGTGTGGTGGCTCACGCCTATAATCCCAGCACTTTGGGAGGCCAAGGTGGGAGGATCATGAGGTCAGGAGACCGAGACCATCCTGGCTAATATGGTTAAACCCCGTCTCTACTAAAAATACAAAAACAAAATTAGCCAGGCATGGTGGCGAGCACCTGTAGTCCCAGCTACTAGGGAGGCTGAGGTGGGAGAATGGTGTAAACCCGGGAGGCAGAGCTTGCAGTGAGCCGAGATTGCGCCACTGCACTCCAGCCTGGGCAACAGAGGAGACTCTGTCTCAAAAAAAAAAAAAAAAAAAAAAAAAGAAATAAGTGGATGACATTTGAAAGCATCATATGTAAGCTGTCATTGTGCTATCAAAGAGCACAATATCTGAAATTGAATTTAGTAAGGCTTCAATAATATTTACTTAAATCAAATGCTTGAGGAATGCTCTGTGTTGATGCTTCTGAAAGCAGCAGACTGTCTTATCTCAGGGTCTATTACCTACAGTATTTTTACAGTAAGATACTGTTAAAATTTCTACTAGAATTTTACATTATTTTAACAGAAAATGTGATAGATTTAACAAAGTGTATTTAAATGGTTAATGATACTGGAATGAAAATGCTATGGTTAAAATACCCACTTCCTTCATTCTGAAAAAAAATTATAAGCAATGAGATTATACAATAGTGTACGCTGCAAATCCTCTAGGAAACTCCTATTACTTTATAAGCATAAAAAAAAGTCTACGTTGGGTTAAACAGAATTGAAACATCAGTAAAATGAAGAGTAATGCAATTGGCAACCTGAGGCTCCACCAGATGCCCATTTCTATAGTAATCAACTCCAAAGAGACCTAGGGAACCATCACCTTACCCGAATGCACTGTCTAATGATAGTTAATCCTGTTACTCAAAGAGGATAACTAGAACTCAGCTCAACCCAGCCTGTGAGGTGAGCATCCCCCACTGTCAGAATTTGCTTCAACGAAAATGCGGCAGTGAGGAAATTTGTGAAATGATAGCTGAGTAAGCAATAGACAATTAAGGAATTTAAAACAGCTGCTAGGAGATGAGATGAGCCAACTGGCAGGAAAAAGACAGTTTTATACTAATTATCATATTTGAAAGAAAACAAGAGTACCCCCTTTAGTCCTTAATATACACTATTTCTTTTTCCGTTCAAACATCTATCTTGGCAAAATAAAATCTATGAGGCATTACCTAGCACAGGTTTTAATTTGATTAAATACCAAGCAACACTTACTGCTGTATCCTTGGCTAAAGCTAAGGTATGGGAAGAAAATGCAAAGGGAAATCATGGCAGAAAAAGGATGCCAAGCTAGAAGGGCAATATTTCTTCTTATTGTGATCTTTATTTGGAACATAACATTTTGTTCTGTATTCTCTTGTTCTCAGAAGCAATCTAAATATGACTATGTAAACATTCTGAAGGATACTAAGCACACATCATGGACCATTCCAGCTACTATTCATCCTTAACATGCTCAACCTCAAACCACAATCAGTACCGGATCAAGGCCAAACGAGCCCTTCAAGGCCAAATAAGCCTTTCCTACTAACACACACTGCACTATAGAAGATGGCTTCACTAGATGGGTAACAAGTGGCTAACGATAGTCAATGTAGCTGGAAATGGGGGTGAGAATCAGCACCTTCAAAAAATGAAGCTCATCGTGCAGTCAAAATTTATTCTCTTTCTTTCAGCATCAAAGAAATCAATAAAAGGAGCTTTGAGGATGCTCAAGAGAGAGAAACTGAACAACTGTTAAGTGCCAGGCACCTTACATATATTCTCATTGTCTCACAGCTCCACTTAAACACACATTTTACAGACAAAGAAACTGAGACTTAGGCAGGCAATACTTTGTATCTTTCACAGGGCTACACTGATTGTCCTCCAAGTGGTCACCTGGGCATTAATCTAGCACCAAGCTTTACGTAACACACCATATTCCACCAAAATGACTGTTGCTTACTCATGAAATATGTATTTGGCTGTCTTCCTCAGTAACAAGTTGTCATGGAATTACTTTTACTTTAATCCTACACAAGAATCCTTCCCTTCTAAGGAAATCAGCAATCAAACTATTGCCTGGCCAAGATTCAATGCCACAGTAGGGAGTTGGGCTTATCCACAGTAAAAAAAACTACAGTCCTTGCTGTCCTCCTCTGGTGTTTCCTATCTTCTTTCTCCAATTCCATATTTATCAAGTCTTGGCCATAAATGTCACTCCTCAGATCTTGATTTACATCATTTTGCTTCATTATCATCTGCTTGTAATTGGTTGGTCATTTACAGGCACACTCTCCTGAGAAATGAGGATGAGCCTACGCAGTCAGCTCTCCTCTTGCAATGCTGACATCATTTTTGGAACACATAAATTGATGGTCTTTCTTTTCACCAGGTTATCACTAGTGCTGGGCAATTCTGGCTGTTCTTGGCGTAATTCCTATATTTGCTAGAATACTCTGGCTTACTCAAAATTTCCTATTGGTACCTTTCCATTCCCGAAGACAAATATATATCTAGACTTCCAGACATATAAATAATTAATAAAGAAAAAAAGATGCAGCCGGTTGCGGTGGCTCACACCTGCAATCTCAGCACTTTGGGAGGCCACTGCACTCCAGCCTGGGCGACAGAGCGCAACTCCGTCTCAAAAAAAAAAAAAAGAAAGAAAGAAAGAAAAGAAAACAAGATGCCCATTTATGTCCACTAGCTAGCAAATGGTGGAATTCCTTAACAGCAGGACACATCACTTATATTTAGATGATGGTAAGAGTGACTCTCGTACAAAGTTCTCAAGAAAGCTAGAAAGGATGCAGGATTCTGCCCTCATCATTCTCCAAAATCGTGATATATTCACCAAACACAACAGTTCTTTTTTTCAAGCTTCTACCTAACGGGCTGCTGATTTCAGATGGGCTCATGGATGATCCAATGGATTTCCACTTCCACTGACTAAAGACCATCCCTCCATTTGTTCCTCTGCATATGTTGTCCAGAATCTCTTCCTACAATTATTCACACACGAGAGAAAATCTCACTCACTTTTAGCCATTCTCCCTAATCTCAGACCACTTTTAACCTCTGTAGCCTCCTAGCCCTTCCTAGCTACCTGCCTCTTCCTCCTCAAAGATCCGCCCCTGTAGAAGAACTTGGCCTTTCAAGCCCGGATCTTACTCAAGGAACAGCTGTGGAATGATAAAACCCTATCCTCAATAAAACAAAAGTGTGTATGTTTCATTATTTGGGAGGTACCACCCCAATTAACAAACATCCCTTTCCAAACAAAGCATTTAGCAAGTGCTTTTGGCACATCAAAGGCACTCAATAATTGTCAGTGTATTATGACTATGAATGAATGTGATGGGACAAGGAAGTAAAAGCAAGGTTTATCACCTGTTAATTAACTTTTGGGGTTTTAATATGATTTGTTTATAAAAACCTGAATTTTATCAAGTGAATTATTACATGTTCAAGAATTTAGATGTTTCCCTTTATTAGATAAATGGGTAAGTCATTCTGGCAGAGGCAACGATTGCCCAACAGGGCTGATCTTCATAAATATCACAAAGATGTCTTCCAGCTACCTGGCATAAGCACTAACAACTTCCCTTTCCTGATGTGATTCCAAAAGAAGACTAGTGACTCCGTCTCAAAAAAAAAAAAAAAAAAAAAGAAGACTAGTTGAGTATGTCTGACAGTCTGTATTCTTCCTTTTATTATGACATGTACTGATTTGTAGATGTCTGAGATTTGCAGTAGAGACCTCTGAAAATTATGCCAAGAAGCCATTAATTTGAATAATAAGTTCACGTGATTATAATGCCAAAAGTAGGAGTAGCCATGACAAATCTTCCCTCATGGAAAACTGAGGCGGAATTACTGCTTTACTGCAGTCTAATTTTTCAGAAGATGGCCTCTTAACTAAAGAGGAAAACACTTGTCCAAATAAATATTTAAGCATAATCTAGTTTATATATATCTGAAAGGCAAGACTTACTGAAAAAAATTCATGTAAATACCCAGAGGCCAGCATGAATGATTTAATAGGTAATTAATAGGTATATATCTTACATATTTACATATATACCTAATTACCTATTTATAAAGTATATAAATATCTATCAATATCTCAGATCAAACAAAAAGTGATCAACATTTCCTTAAACTTATCCTAAACACCACCATAAATATTCTTACAACAAATGTGACCACCACGGTAAGATCAGAAAGTTACAGATGAAATAGAGTGGGAATCTCTTCACTGTTGCCAGTTACATTCTCAAGTTCACTTAATTATAAGAAACTCTTTGGAATGGCTCCCCTACTAATCTACTATCAATCCACTGAACTCATTTCAAGTTGAAATTAGATTTGCAAAGGCAGTGCATAGAAGAGCATGGATTACAGAGCCAGAATACCTCAGTTTGAATCCTGCTTCTACTACTTATTAGCTACCTAACTTTGGGCAAGTTTCTTTAACCTCTGCTGCCTCAGTTTCCTTATCTAAAAAATAGGGATAAACAAAGTACCCATCTTATAAAATTGCTATAAGTGCTAAATAATTAAAATTACACATATTGGCTGGGCACGGTGGCTCATGCCTATAATGCCAGCACTTTGGGAGGCTGAGGCAGGTGGATCACCTGAGGTCAGGAGTTCAGGACCAGCCTGGCCAACAGGTGAAACCTCATCTCTACTAAAAATGCAAAAATTAACTGGGACATGGTGGCGGGCGCCTGTAATTCCAGCTACTCAGAAGGCTGAGGCAGGAGAATCCTTCAACCCAGGAGGCGGAGGTTGCAGTGAGCTGACATCACGCCACTGCACTCCAGCCCGGGTGACAGAGTGAGACTCCATCTCAAAAAATTAAATTAAATTCCACATATTTAATGTAGTATGTTAGATATTAGTATCACTATTACCATAATCTGTCTTTGCAATTATCTGAACAACTTATCTTTTGGTTCAGGAATGGCAGTAAGCAACAAACATTAAAAAAAGCCAAAAATATAACCACCATCAAAACTCCAATCACACACAAACGCTCTAACGTGAGTAAAATGATGTTATCTTAAGCTGAAAAGAGACTTTATCAAATCCTCCCAAAGTTTCTTTTTTATACCCATAAACATCATCAGCCAATGAAAACTGCCTCCTGTGTGGCTTCTAAGGGAAACCTGCAAGAAACACATTCCTGTAAGCCAGTTTGTGTCAAGTTTTTCTTGTTTTAAAACACAAAGACAACTTCTTCAGGATTTTTACATATCATCCCGAAGTTCCCCTAAAATGTAATCCCATTATATATAGCTACATGAATAACATACTTCAAGCATAAGATTCAAGGCAAAAAGAAATTACCTTTTGACACCATGAATGTCAAAATATCATTCTGATTGGTAAGCTCCAGGCCACACTAAAATATATCCTGCAATTATCTCTTTCAAAATGGACCATATTTCTTTTGAAAATCTTCATTTCCCAAAACAGATCTATTTGTTTTTTATGTAAAATTTCAATAGTTTATACAACACTTTTTCCTCAATAAATGCTAAATCTAGATCCCTCAATCTCACGCCTTTCCTGAGTTGGCAGGCAGGGCACGTAGGCCCCACTGATGACACTAGTGACAACATATTCCAAGAATGATGTGAGGCTTCTCAAGTCACATATACACCAACTCCTATTGCTCTTTGATTCTACACATGTAAAGACATGAAGGTCCAAACTACATAGGCTTGAGTCTAGGTTATTAATGCTTCTGAAAAGCTTATCATAATATGATCTCCAAAAGTAGAATGAAAAGAAATGGCTTCATGACTGACTGATTTTCGATCCTAAATAGCATAAAACGTGACCACATATTAGCTCTTCTTTCTTCACAAGCCACAATTAAATAAATGTATTCAACCTTTAGATGAATATGATGCATGTCCTCCTGCAATCACAAATAATAAGACAAGTGGCCTCACAAACTGGGAAAGGCCTCAGAGAGGCATTTATCCCATTCTTAGTTACTGTCAGAAAAAACAGTTGAATGTTGGGGCCAGGTGCGGTGGCTCACAACTGTAATCCCAGCACTTTGGGAGGCCAAGGTAGGAGGATCACTTGAGGCCAGAGGTTGAAGACCACTAGCGAGCGCAACATAGGAAGATCCTCGTTTCTTAAAAAAAAAAAAAAAAAAAAAAAAAAAGTTTAATGTCATTTAGGCCCAAAGCAACACCACTGGTTTTGACAGTTCAAATTACTTGCTATCCCCAATGGATAAGAGAGATGCCAAGGGTGTTGCAAATAAGTTCCCACAGTGCTCTAGTGAATATTAGTTCATGAAGGACCTACTATGTGCCACCCTTTGCTGAGCAATGGAGATACAAAAATAAATAAAACATTACTTCAAGAAGTTTAAAATCAAATGCAGATATGCATAAATAACTATATTGCAAAGTATCAAACAGTATTTCAAAAGCTTCTAATAGTCATATTTGGTGCATTTTCATATATGAATTATAATTAGCATGAATAGTTATGCTGTAAGTACAGATTAAGCCAAAATATAGCCTTCGAAGAAAGGAAAAATTGAAAAATATCTGTATCTAGCTCAACCACAAAAAAGAAATTTTGTATTATAAATAAAGAACCTTCCCAGGGCATAGTTTCCTCAGGGACACACTCCTAACTTCCAAAAGACAAAGAAGGCTGGCGTCTCTTGTCTGTAACCACTAGATCAATAAGAAGGAATTTCTTATTTGGTTTGAGACATCCTTTGGACCCAAAAAAGAGAGAGCTGAAGAAGCCTAAAAATTTCAATTATAGTCAAAACCCTGTGTAGTCTAAAAGAAGATAGTTACATGTTAAGATCTCATTTCATTTATTCATTCATACATCCAAAAAATATATATACTGACCATAATCGAGTTGTCAGGTCTTGTTCTAAAAACAAGGATTACAAGCAAGAACATAACCAAGTAGTCATGTTCTTGCATTCTAGTGAAAGAGGCATATAATAAACAAAAATTTAGCCAGAAGGCAAAAGATGTGGCACCCCATTTCCAGAGAAGGTGGAGGGTCAGAAGAAGAAATTCTTGTTCTTGGAGGATGAAACTCCCAGGAAACTTTACCCAGCATAGGCTCTGCTTCCCAACAATGGCATTTGCTCTTCTCTGTGGCTTTCTACACTCTGTGGCTACTCATCTTTTTAGAGTTATATAACCAACTGGTTTTCTTTTTGAGGTCAGGCACCATAATTATACTTATTTTAATACGTTCTCCAGCAAAAAGATGACTGTCAATAACAAGTTGTTGATTTAAGAGCTAACAAATTTCCAGCATGCCCAAGGAACAGAAGAAAACAAAATCCTGAGGTACTAACTCTTGGGCCTCTTTTTAAAGAAAATCCGACTTACCTAAATTTTCCTCTATGACCTGCCTTCACTGGCCAAACTACAATAGATACCTCCCCATCAATAAATCTGCTGAATTATATGTTCTATTAAACTTCCTTCTTTACATTCAATTCTTTCAGCTGTAATAAAATGGTGCAACTAAATTACAGGCATGCTTGTGAAGCTTTCTCTGGGTAACAGAAAGACAGAAGGGGCAACAAAAAAAAAAAAAAAAGAAAAAGACAGAAAAAGGACAATTTTACCTCCTAAATCTCTTTGCCTAAGACAACCTCTGTTTCTAACCTCCTCCAGGGGGCTATTTAGAGTGAAATGGCCCAGTCCAGGGGTGCTATTTTCAGTTATTAAAGAAGCCAGTGGAGCTTCTGGCTCTGAGCAGCACTTGACCCAAAGGGTGATGGGCAGAAGGAAGAGGAAAGGGAATTAACCAGCTCCCCGTGGTTAGCGTCTGCACACAGCAGGGCTGATAGCCCTGTCCCTCTCAGCATGGCTCCCAAAGAACAGCTCTTTGATTGCACAAGTTACTGCCGTCCAGGGCTGAGCTGCAGAGAAGGACTAAGGGCCAAAACCATGAGGGGAGGGGGCAGGCAAGAGAAGTCCAGGATAAGAAATGCAATAATTAACACATTTGTCACCTGGCGGTGTAGAGCCATAAAATAGCGATGATAAAATAGTGGCAATGCTAGCGTAATTACCCTCTCCCAACCAACTGCCAAAGGTCTGGTGATTAATCAAAGTCTCTCTAGGCATTTCTCTAAACAAGCCCAGCCTCCAATCCCAGTGTAAAATCCACATGCCAGCTTCCAGGAGTGAGAAACAGGCAGTTAGTTGACTTGAGGATTTTTTTTTCTCATCTGAAGAAACATGAATAAATTGCACATCATCAAGTTTATCATTTTTCTCCTCAGAGAAATATGAAATATTATAGATCATCTCCAGTACATCAGCTTCTTCGCACTCCATTAGCATGAAGGGACTATTTTTGATATAATTTATCAAACCACTGGCCTCATTTCTCCCATTTTCCTTCAAAATGGAAACGCGGACACAGTGGACTCGGGCTTCCCCTTATTCACATGCAGCCACATCTGCCTTCTACCCTGGGGACTGGAGATAAGTAGAAGGGCATGATAGGTGACAGGCCATCAACGTGTATTGCCACCCAAAAGGCAGAAAGGAGGTGACCAAGAGATGAGAATGGAAGCTGGTTTAAGTATGCTTTAGTTCAATCCTACTAAGGTGAGAATATGGTCTTTTTTTTTTTTTTATGAAGAATCTGTCTCTCTTACTAAAGCCAGTTTTCTTCTCAACCTATCCCACTTTGATGTGGTAAGGATCCCGCTTAGAATGGTTGCTCGGTTAGTAAGCTACAAGCACTTATTGAGAGTCAGAAACATTTGAAAAGCAACAGAAAACTAAAACATTCACTCTATTTCTACTCCCTCCTCCCATTAGGACCATTAAAGAGTTTTAACAGCAAAGCTGAGAACCAAATGATCCATTCAGTTCGATTTGATTATAAATTATTATTTTAATTAATGAGGTCCTACTATGTTGGAGGCAATTACCATATGGTTCCTGCTCCTAGTCAGCTAAACAAATGCATATCCCACTATCTGCAATAAACACTTAGACGAAGGGTATAAGAGGAATAATAAACTATTTCATTTGGATCTTGAAAACTGAGTAAAGCCTCAACATCCTGGATAAAGTTCAAAACAGGCAAGATAGCTAAGGGTAAAGAAATATCACTGAGAGGCATGAAAGGGAAATGACACTGGCATCTGAAAGGTGTATGGGTGAGATGTAAACAGGAGAAAAGGTTAAGCTAGGATGGTTCTTGAATGGCAAGCTGAGGAGTATCAACTTTATCACATAAGCAACAGGGAGACTTTGAATGTTTTTGACAATAACAGTAATGATTAAAACTATGTTTAAAAAGTTAGCTCAGCTGGGCGTGGTGGCTCACGCCTGTAATCCCAGCACTTTGGGAGGCCGAGATGGGCGGATCATGAGGTCAGGAGATCGATCGAGACCATCCTGGCTAACACGATGAAATACCGTCTCTACTAAAAATACAAAAAAATTAGCCAGGCGTGGTGGCGGGTGCCTGTAATCCCAGCTACTCGGGAGGCTGAGGCAGGAGAATGGCGTGAACCTGGGAGGTGGAGCTTGCAGTGAGCCAAGATCATTCCACTGCACTCCAGCCTGGGTGACAGAGAGAGACTCCATCTCAAAAAAAAAAAAAAAAAAAGTTAGCTCAGCTGGGCTTGGTGGCTCACGCCTGTAATCCCAGCACTTTGGGAGGCCGAGGGGGGCGGATCACCTGAGGTCAGGAGTTCCAGACCAGCTTGGCCAACATGGTGAAACCCCGTCTCTATTAAAAATACAAAAAAATTAGCTGGGTGTGGTGGCGAGTGCCTGCAATCTCAGCTACTCAGGAGGCTGAGGCAGGAGAATCCTTGAACCCAGGAAGCAGAGGTTACAGTGAGCCGAGATGGCGCCACTGCACTCCAGCCTGGGCAACAAGAGCAAAACTCCATCTCAAAAAAAAAAAGAAAAAAAAAAGTTAACTTTAGCAGAACTGTGAAATATGACAAAGGAGGAGTGAAATAAAAATAAGAAGATAGGTGAGAAGACTCCTACAACAGAATTTGCCTGTTTGTCTCTCTAAAGCATATGGCTTCAAGATACGACTTGTTTTAGCAGTCTTGTATCAATCACGCCAAGCACTAATAGGTGCTCAATAAAATATGCTGAAATAATAAATTGACAGAAGTGCAAGGAGATCTGTACAAGCATGTTCACAGAAACATTGTTCGTAATAACAAAAATGAAAACAATCTGAATGCTCATAAATAGAATAAATGGTGGCATAGGCTTAAAATAGAATACTATGCAGTAGTGGAAGAGCAAAACATAGCAACCTGAATTAATCTCACAAGCATCATCTTCCATTTAAAAAGTTAAAAAAGCACATAAAGAATAAGATACAATTTTCCAAAATATAAGCATACTATATATTTGTTGATTTGCATATGTGAAAAATATATAAAGAAATTAGTAACATAAATAGCAAATTCAGAATTGCTTTTCAAGCTGGGTGGTGGGTAAATGGAAGCCTATTATATTACATTTCCTAGCTTTATTTAATAATAAATTTTATAAAATAAAGCAAACACAATAGTCAATAGAGGAATCTTCGGAGCCTAGCCATATTTAAAGAGATTGATGACAAGATAATAACCACTAAAGTAGACTGAGAAAGGGCAGTAAAAAGGGGACATGTTAGACCTGAAAATACAATAGTATGGAAAACGACAGGCTTGTGCAGCTGCAGGGATGGCAGAATGTAGGTTGCAGTTCATGTACCTGAGCCAAACTGGGCAGCAAGACAAGAGGAGCCAAGGAATAGCGAGAGAACCAGAGATGAGGAGGGAGGGACCAAAAGCCCGGCCTAAGAGCAAAGCAAAAGGCATAGGGAGCTAGTGCTAGTGAGAAGGCCAGGTAGACCATGACTGTAATTAAAAACAAATGAGGGAAAGCCTGGATGGAAGACTTCCTTTGCAAAGAATACCGAGAAGACATCTATCATTAACTTCCAACACAAAGCCAACTGTGTGTGTATGTGTTTATTTTATTTTATTCTTTAAAAACTTGAAAGTTGGCATCAAAATTTACTTCCCCTACCTTGAATTCTTAAAAATTGAATTCTGTACTACATTCATCCTTCTTCAAATGATAAAGTATTTTCTTCCATTTTAAGATTGAATTGGGACAGGACAGCTTGGGAAGTAAATCAAAGTGGAATAAAAACACACATCAACCTTTCATATTTTTCTTCTTACAGAAATGCAATATGATAACTTATTTTTTAAAATCTGAAGTTTATTAGGCTGGTATTTATTTTAGTTTCCCTGGAGGATACAATTTTGCCTTAGAAAGACCTGTGGCTGAAAGACTTCCATAATAAACTATTTCTACGCTTACCACATGTACCAGAAGAAGCAAAGAAAGTCTTCTTTGTGCAGCATTTTGCAGAGAAATGAGCCCTACTTTTTTCTGTTAGCAGCATCATTTATTCTGGCATTAGAGCTCCTGTGACCACTACTCAAGCCACAGAGCTACAGCCCATGGGAATTACACAAAAGGCTTATGTTGAACATCCAGCTAGATCTGAAAGAGTCTGAGAGTAGGAGATAAAATACCACCCAGAAATAATCCCCTTCATGTACAACCAAAGCATGAATCCTAGCATTTGCAATGAAGGTTATACCAAGCCTGGTGGCAAGCTAGTAAGGGTGGGCCTCAGAGTCCTATAATTCCCTCTAGATCAGAAAATTTATACTAACCTTAGAGATCAACTTTCACATGAAGGAGCCCCTATCTTGCTAAATGTCTGTCTCCTGTTTTTGGGGAAATCACTCTTTACAAGTTGAGTATATGGGCCCAGTTCACCATTGTTTACCAGAGCTAGAGATCTGCAGAAAACATCTGCCAAATCATCATGTGACAGAAATAATCCAGATGGACACAGAAGTCAGACATGGCTTTGAGAGTCTCTCCAGTCTGCCAAGTTAGCAGGTGACACTGCTGGAGGTTCCCGGGAAAACTATGATGTGCAGGTGCTAAAAATGCATGAAAAGAAAAGCACAATGTAACACCTTCGGATAATCACAGCTGTTTTTGAAGAAATCTCCCCTGCTGTAGGGGTGACCAAAACTCATGCTTCAGGGCCTGAGAAATAAACCACTAAAAACAAAAAGGAAAAGATTTACATTTCTCTGGACTCAAAAGACGTGTCTGTAAGAATGTGAAGGACATGTAGACTAACAAACCCAGGCATTTTCTCCATTTCTCCAGACTTGGCTGGGTACAACCGATCATGAGCCACCCAAGGTTTAGTTCCAATCCTCTCTGAGCCATAAAATGCCACAGGGAGATGGAGAGCTGGTGTGATGCACTTGCATTCCAACTGACTCTGGTAAAACCCGTAGTGCCCAGCTGAGCCAAAGGTGGGGCCAGGGTAAACAGAAGAGAAGGCAAGCCAGGAAAGTGAGACAGTGGGAAGTCCTACCCATAAAAACACAGTCATAAACAACACAAAGACACACTTCCTCATGAGTCACAGTGGGTTGTTAAGAAGCTGCCCACTTGCTGCTGGGCATTCCAAAAGACATCCATAAGACCCTGTCATATAACAATGGAGATTCATTAAGACTCTGTGACTCCATAAGACCTACATTTTTTTTTTTAGACAGTCTCCCTCTGTCGCCCAGGTTGGAGTGAGCAGCACCATCTCAGCTCACTGCAACCTCCATCTACTGGGTTCAAGCGATTCTCATGCCTCAGCCTCCTGAACAGCTGAAACTACAGGCACCTGCCACCACGCCCAGCTAATTTTTGTATTTTTAGTAGAGACGGGGATTCGTCATGTTGGCCAGGCTGGTCTCAAACTCCTGACCTCATGGGATCCACCCGCCTCAGCCTCCCAAAGGGCTGGGATTACAGGCATGAGCCACTGTGCCTGGCCTGTAGGATCTATTAAAAGCCCATTCTGTATCTTTAATAATATATAAGGATGTGAAAACTGGCAACAGGAACAGGAACAAAAACAGCTTTCCATAAAAATCCTTGTTATTTCAACAGAAAGTTATAGATGATGTCAATAATGACTAAGGAAACCAAGAGAACCAACCCTCTGTGTCTTGCAGGTTTAAAGACGTATTTCACTGAAAAAAAAAAGTATTTTTAATTGGTATCCAAGTGGTACTGCCATTCATATTTCTCTTAAAATATTCTCAGGACACTGTACAAGTGGCTAATGGCACCACAGGGACATTCACTCTTCACGGGGCTAAAGGACATCATGTTAGGGGTCCCAAACTCAAAGCAAAATTAATTTCCAGGAATGACAAATAAAAATAAGAACAATGATGAAACCCTGTCTCTACAAAAAATACAAAAATTAGCTGGGTGTGGTGGCACACACCTGTAGCCCCAGCTACTCGGGAGGCTGAGGCAGGAGAATCGCTTGAACCCGGGAGGCAGAGGTTGCAGTGAGCCAAGATCATGCCACTGCACTCCAGCCTGGTGACAGCGCAAGACTCCACCTCAAAAAAAAAAAAAAAACAGAATTATGTTAACGGTAGAAGATGAACCAGTCAACCACAAACCACTAACAGGAAGAAGAACCAGTGTATTAGCAATGATTTGAAAAAAGTCCAAACAATGAGAATGCAGAACAGACAGATTTAATTAAAAATGAAAACACAAATCTTTGTAAGGGGTGGGGTGGTATACAGAAAGCTTAAATCACTTACACATCATAAAAATGACCTTTGTTGGAGGGAATTTTTCCTTTCCTTAACGAAACCCCTAGCCAGAACCTGAATTTAGGTTGTCAAGTTCAAATGTCTGCTCCCTCATTATCACTAGCTGTAAAATATTGGTTATAAGCTTCAGTTTTTCTGAGACTAGATTCCCTATATGTAAAATATGGATAATAATTATAGTAGAAATGTTTCAAAATGAAATAACAGAAATGAAATGATCTAAAACACCATGCAAGACCCAGACAAAAAATAAGTAAATGTGGTTCTCTTCTCCCATAACCACCACGCACACATTCATCTCTGAGGTATCATGGTGTGGTGGTTTTGAGCACAGCTAAGTTCAAATCATGGCTCGGCCAGCTACTAGCTATATGGCGACTCACAGGTTTCTGAATCTAAGCCTCAGGCTCCTCACTAGAAAAATGATGTCAATAACAGTACCTCCTTGAAAGGCTCATTGTGAAGAAGTGAGTTATTACTTGAAACATGCTTAGAACAGTACTTGGCACACAAAGCTCAATAACTGCTTGCTGGCATCAGGATTACTATTATTTATAAAATTTGAAAATTTATTGACAGAGAGATTGCCTCCTTTGAAATTTCAAAAAACTAAGGGCAAAGCACGGGATTTAATCAAGTCTGACCTTCTAATCATGCTATGTCTCCTGTGAAGTTGTCTAGGAAATGATGATATTTTGCATTGATTAGGCAACATGATACTTCTTGTTCTGTAACTTGCTAATATACTTTTTACTTTTATGAAGAATGAGGTACAACACTAAGAAAACAATTCATATAAGAAATTTACTTATTAAAACACAACTTCCAGGGTATGATCTGAGATCAAAGCAGTCCAAATTCCGTTATCTGCTGCTTGATTCAGAGAGAAAAGCACTCCAGTATGATGGGTCCTAGGCTGTGCAAGACAACCCATCACCAGAGAGAGATTCAATTATATTTGGGGACCATTCTAAGGCAGACAGACACTGAACATATTTTAGAAAGATTTTCAGGAATAAGCCTGTTGGAACAAATATATTTTTCAGAATGATCCAAATTTAAATAAACAACACTTCATCTCAATTAACAAAGATTTTACTGCATTGTTTTCTTAACAAAGAAGATTGAGCATTATCAAATGGCATATGTAAGCAAGGAAGGTTAATTATTCCTAATATTCAACTTCATTTACACTAGCACTGCTGAGAAAAACAGTTGACAGTTGTTTGCACAGGCAGAATCATTGCCATTGCACAAAAGAAGAAACCAAATACCAAAAAGTTAAAGACTGTCTCTAGAGTTAAGAGCTTTTGAGTAAAAGTGTAAAGAATGAGGAGTTCAGACATCCTGCTCCTGATTCTGGAGGGCAGACAGTGAGACTTGAAGTAATTATTAAGTGATTGCTTGAATATTTTATTATACTACTACTATTGTATAATTATTATACTAACAATATCTATAGCTTTCTTGTACGTACTATGAATTCCTACATTGAGAATATTCCATCCTTCATTGGAAACTAATAACAAACAATCCTATTCTAGCAGTAACCCTAATGAAACCTCATTATGGTGAAGAGAATACCTGCAAAAATTCATCAGACTATGGGATTCTTCACTCCTGTTGAAGTAATACATGGAATCCAGACAGGTTCCAAACTATATTGAAATCTAAGTGTCTTCCAGGTTATCAGCCTTTATGTGAGATAGTCATACTACTTCTTAATGAAAATACAGGAATACCTAAGACATTGTAGATTTGGTTCCAAACCACCACAATAAAATGAATATTGCAATAAAGCAAGTCCCATGAACTTTTGGTTTCCCAGTGAACACAAAAATTATGTTAAGTTATTAACATAATTGATAGCATTATGTCTAAAACTAATAGACATATTAGGCTATATGTGTATAATAGCATTATGTCTAAAAATTCAATGTAGTTACCTTAATTTTAAAAATGCTTTATTGCTAAAAATATGCTAACAAACACCTGAGTCTGGTGGATGGATTTTTGCAGGTATCCTTTGGCAAGTCATAATCTTTTTGCTGGTGGAGGGTCTTGCATACATGTTGATGGTTGCTGACTGATCAGACTGGTGGTTGCTGAAGGTTGGGTGGCTGTGGCAATTTCTTGCAGTAAGACACCAATGAAGTTTGCTCCATCAACTGACTCTTCCTTTCATGAAAGATTTCTCTGTAGCATGGGAAGCTGTTTGATAGCATATTACCCACATAGAACTTCTTTAAAAAGTGAAGTCAATCCTCAAATACCGCCACTGATTTATCAACTGAGTTTATGGAATATTCTAAATTCTTTGCTGTAGTTTCAACAACATTCACAGCATCTTCACCAGGAGTAGACTCCATCTCAAGAAAACACTTTCTTTGTTCATCCATAAAGAAGCAACTCCTCATCTGTTCAATTTTGGTGATGAGATTGCAGAAATTCAGTAACACCTTCAAGGCCCCAATTCTAATGCTAGTTCTCTTGATATTTCCATGCATCTGCAGCAATTTCCTCTACTGAAGCCTTGAACACCTCAAAGACATCCATTAAGTTTGGAATAAACTTCTTCCAAATTCCTGTTCATGTTGGTATTTTGATTTCCTCCTATATGTCATGAATGTTCTTAATGGCATCTAGAATGGGGAATCCTTTGCTAAAGGTTTCAATTGACTTTGCCCAGATCCATCAGAGGAAATCACTAATTACGGTGGCTAAAGCCTTATGAAATGCATTTCTTAAATAATGAGACTTGAAAGTTGAAATTACTTCTTGATCCATGAATGGTAAAATAAATGTTCTGTCACCAGGCATGAAAACAACATTTATCTCCTTGTACAACTCCATCAGAGCCCTTGGGTGATCATGTACATTATCAATGAATAGTAATACTTTAAAAGGAATCTTTTTTTCCAAGCAGTAGGTCTCAATAGCGGGCTTAAAATATTTAGTAAACCATGTCGTAAACAGATGTGCTGTCATCCCAGCTTTGTTGTTTTATTTCTAGAGCACAGGGCAGATTTGGCATAATTTTTAAGTGCCCTACAATTTTTGGAATGATAAAATAAGCAATGGTTTCAACTTAAAGTCACCAGCTACATTAGCCTCCTACGAAGAGTCAGCCTGTCCTTTGAAGCTAGGCATGGGACTTCTCCTTTCTAGCTTTGAAAGTCATAGGTGGCATCTTCTTCTAATAGAAGGCTGTTTTGTCTACAGTAAAACTCTGTTATTCAACGTGGCCACCTTTATCAATGATCTTAGCTAGATCTTCTGGGTAACATGCCACAGCTACTCCATCAGCACTTGTGTTTCACCCTGCAGTTTTCTGTTCTAGAGATAGTTCCTTTCCTTAAACCTCTTAAACCACACTCTGATAGCTTCCAGCTTTTCTTCTGCAGCTTCCTTGCCTCTCTCACTCTCCACAGAATTGAACAGAGAGCCTTGTATGGATTAGGTTTTGGCTTAAGGGAATGTTGTAACTGGTTTCATCTCCCATCAAGACTCCTAAAATTTCTCCATATCAGCAAAAGGGCTGTTTCACTTTCTTATCACTCATGTGTTCACTGGAGTAGCACCTATTATTTCCTTTAATCACTTTTCCTTTGCATTCACAACTTGGCCAACAGGTGCAAGAGACTTAGCTTTCAGCCCATCTTGGCTTTCAACATGCCTTCCTTACTAAGCTAAATCATTTCTAGAGTTTGATTTATTCAAGTGAGTGACATGAGACTCTTTTTTCACTCAAACACTTAGAGTCCAGTGTAGTGTTATTAACTGACCTAATTTCAATATTGTTGTGTCTCAGGGAATAGGAAGGCCAGGGAAGGAGAGAGAGAGAGAGGAAAGGCAGGTTGGTGAAACAGAACACACACTGTTCTTATATAGCGAGGTTTATGTCACTCCAAAATAACTAAAATAGTAACATCAAAGATCACTGATCACAGATCACCACAACAGTTATAATTATAATAAAAAAGTTTGAAATAGTGCAAGAATTACCAAAATGTCACACAGAGACATGAAGTGAGCATATGCTGTTGGAAAAACGGTGCTGACAGACTTGCTTGATGTAAGGTTTACACAAAACTTTAATTTGTAAAAAATACAGTATCTGCCAAGCACAATAAAGCAATGTATGCTCATATTAGAAAAGAACTTATTGGAAGTACGAATGAATGACATATAAAAGAGAAGTACATGCTACTGTCATGTAAATATGCCAGATGCTGTTTCTGTCCCCCAATTAATGCCAGAAAGGATTCCACAAAATGCGAATGGCTCATTGCAGAGACTGAGATAGAATGCCTTCCGTCAACATTTTCTTTCTCTCTTTCTTTTTTTTTTTTTTTGAGACGGGGTCCCGCTCTGTTGCCCAGGCTGGAGTACAGTGGCACGACCTCGGCTCACTGCAAGCTCCGCCTCCCGGGTTCACGCCATTCTCCTGCCTCAGACTACAGGCACCCACCACCATACCTGGCTAATTTTTTGCATTTTTAGTAGAGACAGGGTTTCACTGTGTTAGCCAGGATGGTCTCGATCTCCTGACCTCGTGATCCACCTACCTCGGCCTCCCAAAGTACTGGGATTACAGGCATGAGCCACTGTGCGAAGTTCCCCAAACTCCCAGTGGTAAGAGACTCTACATTTTAAAAGAATTCAATAGGAAGAAATTGAAACCCCACAGACATTTAGTATACACCCTCACTCTGGCCAGGCCAGTGAATCCTCAACCACTACTACTTACTAGGTATCAAAAAATGTAATCGCATATACTTTGCAGCAAAATCAATCCTTTTAGAATCCTTGAAGGTTTGGAGAAAAGTTTACAAATTGTGATGAATTTCATGGGCCAAATCCTATGAACTGAGAGTCATCAATTATCATTTATTAATCAACTATAATAATGATGTTTCATAATCATTATATTGTAGACATAATAATAATGAAGGCAATGCAATTTGCTCTCAAAAAGCTTTGGCAGGCAATAGCACTGTCTAATAAGGATGCAGCTGGGCAAATAGCTTATGGTGTTGAGAAATATTAAAATAAGCAAAAGTGCATAGGGAAAGAAGGCATTAGATATACATATTTTCAAGTTATTAAAAATTGAAAAAATATAAAGGTGAGATTAATGTTACAGAATCTATCTGCATCTCTAGAAATGAAGGGTTTAGATTATATGAAATATTTTCTACTCTCAAGGATGTACTCTAGCTAGAAAAAGAACCATTGCATAGAATCTGAATGAGTGATGGGCTGAGAAGCATCTGATGAAATCGAAGAAGGAAAATAAAATTTCCCATGAAAGAACGTTCTTTAATTACGAAGAAGGTTGTCTGGGATTACCTTACAGAAACCTTGCAAATCCTCGCTCTTTATACCTGGTAAAATGAGAGCTACCTGGAAAGCTGTATTTCCTGCCTTGCTCTTTCAGGTCCACAGACACAAAAGAACTGAGGATATAGAATCAGCAGCAGCACAAGACATCCTGTAAATGCTGGGGAACAGAGAGATCAGGCCATAGATCCACCACTCCATGGCCATATAGGAAGTTTGCAGCTTTCAATATTGTCAGTGTCGTGCTGGATAAACACAGGGGGGTTAGGAAAAGCAACGACAGAGTGAGGGAAGCTTGGTGAGGAGGAAAGAAAGGGTTTCCATCACAAAGCAACAGCAATGGAGAGAAACTCAGGGCAGATGGGAAATCTGCAATCATCTGACCCCAGAAATGCAGAAAGAAATGTAGTCCTTCGTCTTAAAAAGCTCTGACCAAGAAAAGAAGGAGGGAAAAACTACCCCCCCCCAAAAAAAAAAACTTGTTTATAATAAAGACTACATTCTGTAGCAATTTCCCAGATTCCTGGGGTTAGAAATCTAGATTGCCAATGGATAAGTGAGCCTTAAAATCACATCCCTGCTGACAAAAATTCATTTCTTATAACCGTCTCCATTTACCGGAATGCTGAATCTTTCCCATGGGGAAGGAACAAATGAAAATGTTATTTCTCTGCTCATGAACTCATACCTTTCTGTCTGCTTTTCACTGTTGGCAATTTCATTCTCCTCCAAATTTGACTAAAGCCCGTGACCTGAGGGAAATAATGTCTATATAATAATCTTCTGAAACTCTAATTCTGAGTCATGTTTTTTTTGGATGTTGCCTCGCAGTTTATGAAAATTGCACTGAGCTATGAAATGTAAGTGATGTGATGTCTCTGCCTAACATAATCATTTTGCTGGTGAACATGTTGCAAATACTAATGAAAAGGAGGCTCCCACAAAAGCCATGAAAGCTGGTTAATGGCAACAATCTAGCAGCAGTGGCTCCCATCTTCCTCACATACCTCTCAGAATAGAACTGCGAAGGGTAAAGGACAGGTGGGCAAACACAGTCAGAAAAAGGGGAAGAATTCGCTTCCACTGTGACCCCTTCCTTGTTCCCCTTGCCTGAAATCTTATCAACGTCTGTGAGTTTGGGAAAATGGCATGCAATCCAACAGTTTGGGAACAATAGAGTACTAACTTTCCATTTTAAAGAATTTTCAATTTTGAAATAGGCTCAGTTATCTGTTTTAAGTCAGTTTAGCCATACAGTGTAATCAATGAGGATTTCTCCATGAGACATACAAATAACTACAGAACCTGGCAGTAGACCCAAGAAGGCTGAAATTTCCGTCTATCATTCAGTGAATTTACCACAATGAAAGGGACTAAAGACTATGTTTTTACTTTTCCCCCAGTCATTTAGATCTATTCAACGTGCAAGCAAGGGAATTAAATAGAGTTATAAAGGCAATGTGCCCCGGCCGGGGGCGGTGGCTCACACCTGTAATCCCAGCACTCTAGGAGGCCGAGGAAGGTGGATCACGAGGTCAGGAGTTCAAGACCAGCCTGGCCAAAATGGTGAAACCCTGTCTCTACTAAAAATACAAAAATTAGCCACGCGTGGTGGCAGGCACCTGTAATCTCAGCTACTCGGCAAGGTGAGGTAGGAGAATCGCTTGAACCCGGGAGGTGGAGGTTGCAGTGAGGTTGCAGTGAGCTGAGATCGCACCACCGCACTCCAGCCTGGGGGACAAGAGCAAGACTTCATCTCAAAAAAAAAAAAAAAAAAGATAACGTGTCCCTAGTATATCCCATCTCAAAGAGCTTGGACCTTTTAACCTAAATGTCTGTGATCTATAATGCTTGTTCATTTACCTTTACTACCAAAATAGAAATGGAAATAATATAAAACTTTAAAACTTATTAATATATTTAGGCTAGGCGCAGTGGCTGTAATCCCTGTAATCCCACCAGGAAGGCCAAGGCAGGCGGATTGCTTGAGCTCAGGAGTTCAAGACCAGCCTTGACAACACGGTGAAGCCCCAACACTACAAAAATACAAAAATTAGCGGTGGTATATGCCTGTAGACCCAGCTACTTGGGAGGCTGAGGTGGGAGGATCGCTTGAGCCCAGGAGGTAGAGATTGCAGTGAGCTGAGATCATGCCACTGCACTCCAGCCTGGGCGAAGAAGTAAGACCCTGTCTCAAAAAAAAAAAAAAAAAATACTTGCATTTAGCTATCAAATTGCCTTTTGAGAGACAGTGGATCAAAGATTTTGTGAGTTTTTTTTTTTAATAAAAAAAAACCTCTATTATTTGAAATTCCCTCCCCTCTCCTGATTCCCAGCAAATGAATGTTTTTAATAGTTTCCAATTTTCAGCAAGTATTACTGCAATTGTATTTGGATCTTGAGGCTATTTAGGGAATGATGCAATGTTACAAAATTAAGCAGCAAATAAAGTTTTGTAAGGAACCCACACCACACATATGTGGCATCACTATCTAGAATTTGCCAACCCCCATTTTACCAGTAATACTAACAGGAAATAATTAGCAAGCATTATGATCAAATACAAAATCATACCCCGTAATGTTTCTCGTGAAGACAATTTTATATGTTGAATTGGTAGATATTTAAATGAGTTTGAGGCATTAGTAAATCACTTCTGGTTCTCACTGAATATATTTCATGAAACCTCTGCATTCTACAGCCATATGGCACTCATAATTTTAAAAAATCAAATTAATAGTATTCATGACCATGAAGTCTTCCCAAGGCTAAGAAAAGGAATAGTGCTTTAGGTGCTAATATCATGGTCACAATTGTTTTTAAGAATTAATAGGCCGTATGCGGTGGCTCATGCCTGTAATCCCAGCACTTTGGGAGGTAGACGCAGGCAGATCATGAGGTCGGGAGATCAAAAGCGTCCTGGCTAACACAGTGAAACCCCGTCTCTACTAAAAATACAAAAAAATTAGCTAGGTGTGGTGACACGTGTCTGTAGCCGCAGCTACTCGGGAGGCTGAGGCAAGAGAATGGCGTGAACTCAGGAAGCAGAGCTTGCAGTGAGCCAAGATCGCGACACTGCACTTCAGCCTGGGTGACACAGTGAGATGCCGTCTCAAAAAAAATATATATATATTAATAATCATTTGACATAAGCTCTGTAGCATCTCTCCAAAAATAACGCATTTGAAATACTTAATCCAGAAATATTATTTTTTCCTTAAATAAAACAACTCTTATTTCAACAAATTTTAAAAATCATCAAAATAAACCCTAAGCCCTGAGCCTGTTTTCTATCCATCTCATGTAACTAATCTAAATCTGCCAAGGACATCTAAACACATTTGAAAAATGGAAATATTTTATTGGGATTATTAAAATCTCCAACAGCTTACCAGGACTGCAAACCAATTTTTTTTTCTTCTGTTAGAGAATACCTAGCATTCTGGGTTACCTAACAATAAAGAGGAAATGATGACCTAATATTTAGGGCAAAAATATTATGGCCACACAAGTGACTGGTACAAATCATGTATTTCCAGGAGTAAAAATAAAAAGTCCTCTCACCAGCACACAGAGAACTTTATATTCTTCATTATTAAAGAGTCATATTAAAACTAATATTAATTTCTAAACACCAAGACTTTTAAAGACTCTAATTTTCAATACATATCGAGAATTCATACTCTTACTGCTATTTTATTACATAATGTTCTTCAAAAACATCTAGACAAATTCTGCTTCTTTAAAAGCAGAGCAGGCCAGGTGCACTGGCTCACACCTGTAATTCCAGCACTTAGGGAAGCCAAGGCGGGCAGGTCACCTCAGGTTCAGGAGTACAAGACCAACCCAGTCAACATGGTGAAACCCTGTCTCTACTAAAAATACAAAAATTAGCCAGGTGTGGTGGCAGCGCCTGTAGTCCCAGCTACTCGGGAGGCTGAGGCAGGAGAATCTCTTGAACCTGGGAGGCAGAGATTGCAGTGAGCCAAGATCACGCCACTGCATTCCAGCCTGGGCGTCTGCCCTAATGCTTCCTACCCAGGCAGCTGAAAATATTGGGAGAGTTTAGAAACCACCGTGAGGAAAGGCATCTTGCTCAGAGAGCCTGCATAAATGTTTGTAGACAGACTGATGGTCACAGATCTGAAGAACCAATTCACATCTGAAGATCAACGAGTTCAATTACAAAATACTCAGGAGTACCACTGGAGTGTAAAGCTAACTAAATTCATGGATATTCTGTAACTTCCTTAATAATGTATCAGAAAGCTTCAAGTGTATTTTTTCAGCCTGATTAGTTGTCAAGTTCAAGGAATTTAATTTTATCCAAAGAAATCACATTCCCCAAACAAGTCTTGTGACTTAGTACGTCCTTATGCCAAATGTACTTCAAATATATTGTGCACTACATTAATATAAATTCCGAGAGAATGTCACTGTCATCAATTATATACACATGTGCAGTCTAGACTGTACTTCTGTATATTTTTTAAATGCCTAGAAAAAAGAGGCATGTAAACTGTAAAAATCAAATTAGATTTGAGACTTACTCTTTGATATGGGTTATTTAAAAGTATGTTATCGAATTTCCAAAAATTTGAGGACATTCCGGGTATCCTTCTGTTACTGAGTTCTAGTTTAAGTCTGTTGTGGTCAGTGAACATAATTTGCATCATTTCAATGCTTTTACACTTATTGAAATTTACTTAATAGCTCAAAATATGTCTACAATGAGTATGGCATGTGCATTTGGACAAAAAACTGTATTTTGCTGTTGAAGGGCACATTCTATAAATGTTGATTGAGTCAAGGTGACCGGTAGTGTTGCTCAAGTTTTTGGTGTCCTTCCTAATCTGTGTTAACTTGTTCTATCAATGTGAGGGATGAGCAATGAAATCTCAAACTTTATTAGTAGATTTGTCTATTCTTCCTATAATTCTATTAGTTTTTGCTTTATGTATTCTGAAGCTCTGTTATTGTGTACATAGGCCTTTTTCTTGATGAATTCTTGTTTTCTTGATGGACTGATCCCTTTATCACTATATTGTGTGTGATACCATGCTTTATACTTGGTAATATTGTGAAGTCTACTGTATTGATATTAACAAAACCACTTCTGTTTTTGTTTTGTTTTGTTTGTTTGTTTTTGTTGAGAGTCTCCCTCTGTCATCCAGGCTGGAGTGCAGTGGTGCAATCATGGCTCACTGCAACCTCTACCTCCCAGGTTCAAGTGATTCCCCTGCCTCAGCCTCCAGAGTAGCTGGGATTACAGGCATGAGCCACCACACCTGGCTAATTTTTATACTTTCAGCAGAGACAGGGTTTCACCATGTTGGCCAGGCTGGTCTCAAACACCTGAACTCAAGTGATCCAGCCGACTTCTAAAGTGCTCAGATTATAAGCATAAGCCCAGACCACTCCAGTTTTCTTTTGATTAGGGTTTGCATGACATACTGTTTTCCATCCTCTTTGCTTTAAAATAGTCATGGCTCTGTATTTAAAATGGGTTTTTTGCAGGCAGCACAAAATTGGGTTTTACTTTCTATCCAATTTTATAATCTCTGCTTTTTAACTGACCAATTATATTTAGTGTAATTATTGCTAAGGATGATATGGTATCTATGTACTATTATACTTTAAAAAAAGTCATCTGTTCTTTTGTTCCCTTTTTTTCTTAATTTTTTTGCCTTCTTTTGTATTAGCTGAGCATTTTTATGATTTCATTTTATTGGCTTGTTAATTATATCTTGTACTTTATCTTTTTCCCCAATGGCTGCTCTAAAATTCACAATATACGTTCTTAACTTATCATAGTCTACTTTGAAATGTTATTATACTATTTCATGTATTGTACAGAAACCTTACAACAGTATATTTCCATTTAAACCTTACAACAGTATATTTCCATTTCCTCCCTCCCATCCTTTAAGGTATTATTGCCAAAATTTTATTTTAACATGTTATAAACCCCATAATATAGAATTATTATTTTTGCTTTAAACCAGCACCAGATAGTAAATAATTTAGACTTTGCAAGCCATATATGCTCTTTGTTGCATATGCATTAATTATTCTATATTTAAAAAAATTTTTTACAACCCTTAAAATAAATTATTTGCTCATGGGCTGCACAAAACAAGCCTGATGTTAGATTTGACTCATATTGGTCCATTCTCACACTGCTATAAAAAACTACCTGAGACTGGGTAATTTACAAAGAAAAGAGGTTTAATCGACTCATGGTTCCACAGCCTTAACAGAAATTATGACTGAGAGGCCTCAGGAAACTTATAATCATGGCAGAAGGTGAAGGGGAAACAAGCACGTCTTACCATAGGGGAGCAGGAGAGAGCAAGCAAGCAGGAATTGTCACACACTTTTAAACCACCAGATCTCATGAGAACTCACTCGCTATCATGAGAACAGCAGTGGGGAACTGCCCCCATGATCCAATCACCTCCCACCAGGCCCTTCCTCCAACACGTGGGGATTACAATTTGAAATGAGATTTGGGTGGAGACACAGAGTCAAACCATACCAGGCTCATTGTCAACCCATACTCTAATCTCATTTCAAAAGATTAGAAGAAAAAATGTCTTGTCTGTTTATTCATATTTTTATATTTCTGGTGTCCATCATTCCTTTGTGTAGAACAAAATGTTCTTTCTATAGAGCAGCGTACTCCTGCTATCTGAAGAGTTTTCCTACTGTCTGAAGAGCTTCCTGTAAGCTCTTCAGATAGACCTGTTCTGCTAGCAAAACTTCTCTTGCTTCATCTGACGAAGACTTAATTTACTTTCCGTTTTGCAATATATTTTTCCTGGATACAGAATTCTAGGTTGAGGGTATTTGTTCTTTCAGTTTTTTAAAGATGTCACTCCAACTCTTTTCACTAACATAATTTCTGACATAAAATGTACTGAGCTTTTATCTATTATACCTCTGCATGAATATTTATTTTTTTCTCTGTCTTCAAGACTTCTTTATCTTTGATTTTCAGCAGTCTGACTTCAGTGTACGTAGGTATGCTTTTCTTCATATTTATTCTGAGTCTGTGGTTGGCTATCTTTCATTTTGGAAAATTCTCAGCCATTATCTCTTCTAGCGTTTCTTCTAGCCTATTTTCTCTCTCTTGAAGTATGTTAGGCGGTCAGGAAATTTTCTATGGCAATGCTCCATTTTTTATTTCCACTCTTTTTGCTCTATTTCAGTTGAAAGGCTTTATTAGCCTATCCTCAAGGTCACTTATTCTTTCCTCTATCGTATCAAGTCTGTTGATAAACCCACAGAAAATTTTTTCATATATGATATTGTGTTTTTCATTTCTAGCATTTTTTTCTGACTCTTACAGATTCCATCACTCTACTAAAATTCCACATCACGATTTATGTATATTGTCCACCTTTTCCATTAAACCTTTTAATACAGTAATCATAGTTATTTCAAGGTCCCTGTCTGAAGTTTGCATGTCAGATTTTGTTGACTATTTTACATCTTGAACAGTCACCTTTTTTTTTTATCTTACGTGAGTGTGTCTATGTCATAATTTTTTTAATTGAACCCAAACTTTATGTATAAAAGAAACTCAGGTAAATAATATTTCTACCTGGAAATGGGTAACTACTTCTTTCAAGCTGTTAGCATGGGGGGACTGAATAAATCTACTCAGTAGTTGAATTGTGTCTGTATTTTACTGTTGCTATAACTAGTGTTGATGCACCACAGGATAAAAATTCCTCCTCTGATAGACTGCTGTGACATAGTCTTTTGTGAGTCTAGAAGATTCAAAACAGAGGCCAACTGAGGGTCTAATCATGAGAAAAACATCAAAAAAATTTTTTAATCCAACCAATCGAAGAACATTCTCTAAAATACCTGACCAGTACTCCTTAAAACTATCATCAAAAAGAAAAACTATCTGAGAAACTGTCACAGTCTTACAGGCACCTGAGGAGATATAATGACTAAACATACAACATAGTATCCTACTTTAGATAGGATACTACAACAGAAAAAGATCAGTAAAGTATAAACTAAGAAAATTTGAATAAAGTATGTACTTCATTTAATAATAATGTAGCAATATTGGTTTACTACTTATAACAATTACATCTTATAACAATTACATCTACTTATAACAACTACATCTTACAAGTGTAAGATGTAACAACAGGGAAAACTAGATTGATTTTATACGAGAATTCTACCTGCATAACTTTGTAATCTAAATCTATATAGAAATGAAAGTTTATTTTATTTTTTGCTGTCAAAAAGGTTTTCTCAGTGTTCAGGATCCACCCTAAACTTACAGTAGGACCTAAGTAGGACCTGCACATAAGCATTGCAGGGTGTCTGCGTTTCTTCCCATGCTCTTGCCACTCCTCTAGCAGTAGACTGCAAGCCTGTTACTGTTTCTTTGTTATGGTTGAAGGCTCTTGGAGGGGGGAAGGAGAATTTCTCAGTTCTCCTGCTCCAAGCACAGTCTTAGCCTAGCCCTGCACATCTGGGACTCAAGTACATGACTTTCTTAGCATTTCTTCCTCCACCCCAATGACATGTAATCTCTGCTTCCTACTCAGTTCAGGGTATGAAATACAATCAGTTTTCTTCCCCACATCCCTCCCACGGGGAAGCCAAGTTTTGCCTTGTATTGGTGGAATATCTTGGGCATGAGAAAGTTTCCTGTTCCTCTACCAGAGGTAGAGGATCAGTGCATTAGTGCAGAATCATGGGCAAAATGATCTCTCTCAACTGCAAACGACGTTTGCCCCATTTCTTTGCAAAGCAGGGGGAGATTCATAGTCCTTCCCCCACAGCAGCTAATCTTTGTTAGGACTAGAATGGCAAACAGGTTTCTTGCCTCTCTCCCAGTAGCATATGGCTTTTGCATTGTATCTGAGAAGTGTCTGGGGAATGGGCATGACAGAGCGAAATCTAAATTTCAAATTTCTGGTTCAGTATCAATTGCTAAAGATATCTAAAGATCTCTCCCTCTCCTTCTCCCTCCCCCTCTGCCCCCCCCCCCCCCACCACCACAACCTAACACTCATCTTTGGTATGAATGTGCCTAGCATCAGTTTGGAACATTCTACTGGCTTAGTTTCTACATGCTAGACTTACTCGTATGAACTCTCTGAGCTCTGGGAACATCTCGTCCTGGGTGTTTAAACATATGAACTATGCTGTCCCATTCCAGCCTCAGTTAACTTATCTAAACCAAACCTCATAGCTGGCAGCCATGAGGTGGCTGCACACCACTCCTCTCTATTGACCCTCTCCCAAACCTGATCCTGCCTAGCCAGCCCTCCCTGTCACAAGAAAGGCAAAGTCATCTCTTTTAAAAAAAGCAAACCTCTTCCTGGTCCTCTCCCCACCTAGTATAACATTTTGCGGTAATTACAAACCAAATAAACACAGCCGTTATAAGTCGTTCAATTCAGTATCATGAAATTATTTCTTAGCTTCCAATTTATTTATCGTTCTATCAATATATATGCATGGAAAGAATATAAAAGAGCATATAGAGAGCATTTTCAAAGAGGTTTACCAAATGTTAACGCTGGTTATTTCTGTGAAAAGGGTAAGATTTGCACTGATGTGCTCACATTTTCTTCGTACATTTTTCTACCACGTAAATATTTTATAATAATGGGGCATCATTTTTATAAAAATATGTTTTCGTTTAATAATACAATTAAAGACAGTAATCAGATTGGGAATCTCTTGGCTCTGATTTATAGTAGCAGTCTTAGGTGGTTTGAGAAAATTAAAGAGTTAACACAGTGGAAGAAGACTCTCAAAGACATTGACTGCACAAGAACCAAGAAGGGGAACAACATAGAATTTTAAACTTCATGATCAGTTGCACAAACTAAAGGTTCTCCTTTACTTCTTTTTTTTTTTTTTTTTTTTTTTTTTTTTTTTTTTGAGACGGAGTCTCGCTCTGTCGCCCAGGCTGGAGTGCAGTGGCGGGATCTCGGCTCACTGCAAGCTCCGCCTCCCGGGTTCATGCCATTCTCCTGCCTCAGCCTCCCAAGTAGCTGGGACTACAGGCGCCCGCCACTACGCCCGGCTAATTTTTTGTATTTTTAGTAGAGACGGGGTTTCACCGTTTTAGCCGGGATGGTCTCGATCTCCTGACCTCGTGATCCGCCCGCCTCGGCCTCCCAAAGTGCTGGGATTACAGGCGTGAGCCACCGCGCCCGGCCTCTCCTTTATTTCTTAAATCTATCCAGAATAGGAAATTCTACACTGTTGATTTTTTTTAATTAAAAATTGTCCTCTTAAAAATATTGTCCTCAATTTTATATTTTTTATCTGATCTTGGAATAAAGCTGATTTCATCAGAGGCCGTTAATCCTTCACTCAAAAACCAAAAAATGAATAATCATTCTCCTAGTAATCCTATCAAGGAGTATGCCAGTAACTATTGTACATAAATGTATTTAGGAAACCCCCTTCAATAACTCCAACAGTATTTTTCTTTGACAGGAAATACTGCCCCTGTAATTCCTTTTAGAAAAGTTTGTAAAAAATTACACCACGAGGCCACTGGATGTCACTGCAGGTTTATGGAGTGTTACCCACTGGGGCTTAAGCTGGGCTATAAATAAAGGGATTCTTAAAGTACTCCAAAGGGGCTGGGAAGTAAGTTGTCAGCCTCTAAGGATATATGAGTATAGCACTGATGCACTGGTGGTACAAAATATGCCAATGATAAGACCTTTCTACAAATTTGTGACCTAAACAGCTGAAGAAAAGGTGGGGAACAAATAATCTAAGGTTAACCGATCTAGTTGCCAAGTGTAAGAATAAAAGGCCATAAACCTAATCTTGCCAATCAAAGAAAATGAGAAATTTGAATGTAAGCAGGCATTAAAAAGTCAAGGTTGGTGACCTGTTCCTCCAAAAGCGACTTAAAAAACAAAAACAAAAAGCTTTCATCAAGGATAAGCTGGGATCACCCTAAGAAACTGGTGTAAAAGAAAGAACATCCCATTTAGAGACCAGTGTCGCATATTTAACATAGAATAAAGATTGCATCACCTACTATCTCATAAGCCTTAGAATTTTCAGTGAAAAAAAAAAACTAGCAAGAAAAATTGGGGGAAAGATTCATTAAACAAGCACAGCAAATTAAATAGGAAATGTCAGATGTCCCCACAGGGGAAGTCAGATGCTTGATTTTACTCCTGTTTCCTTTATAACCTCTCTAAATCCCCAAAGAAGTTACTTTTAAAAAACTCAAAAACAGGACTTTGTCTTCAAGGGTAAAAAAAGGAGAGAGAGAGATAGATTTAAAGCAAAATAACTGCCTAATTCCCACGGAAATAGAACTCCATGGGATTAGTTTCAGCATCATTATATCAGGAACGCACAAGTTCTGTTTCCATATTGATTAATTCCAGCCGAGTTGAAATTTGCATGCAATTTACAATCATTCCCTTCCACAAATGTCTTCATTTAGTAGTATTTTGAGCCTGGCATGACAAGATTATTGCAAATCACAGCTCCATCAAAGAAGAATCTGCTAAAAAATCACAATTTCATTGGAAATGCTGCAAAAAGCAATGATTGGTTTAGGAAGAATAAACACAGTTTTATGTAGCTAGTATATTATTCTTCAATTCACCAGTGTCAGATATTGATGAAGGCCCTTTCACAAATGTCTTCATGTTAGTGAATGGAAGCACAGTGTCTGACACTCACAGCCATGAGTAGAAAAGACAACAATAACAAGATGCATTTTGGGTGATAACTGTCAGAAAGCTTACACTTGTGTGAAAAGAAAGAACTCTTTGTTAAGACCATCTTTTCTGAGCATCAAATTTAGTCACTGTGCCACCTAACAAGCCATCACAGACATCTATGAGACTAACTTTGGCTAAATGGGGAATTGTTTAATGAGTTAGAAGTTATTCTTCCAATGGGCCTTCAAGTAGGTGAAATCTGACATCAAAGTCCTCAAGTCAAGAATTCACACATCTAGAATTAAAGTGAGCAGAAAGATTTACGTTGGAGGAAGATCTAGCATCATTCACTAAAGCAAGAAGGTGATCAAAATCCTAGCTGTCTTTCTTTATATGGTAAGCTACCTTTCTCAGGTATTTCAGCAGCTACATCATGGTCTTTCTATTAGTTGAAATATATTTGGTCATCCAACTCATTACTATAACATACTCTATTAAGTTATTAAATCCTCTTGTAAAGGTGGGAGTACAGATAATATTTGGGCAAATATCACTTAAATTATGGATGTTGCTAAAAAGTCACATGTAAAAGAATAGTCTTTGATTAATAAATGCAGAAAAGACCAATCTAATTATACCTTTATTAGGTAGAAGCTCTAAAACTAGAAGTAAGAGCTCTAAAACTAGAAATAAGGGATATTCCTAAAGACACCCATTTAAGACTGCAAAACACCAGAAGAGGTAAAACTAAAGGAGAGATCATGCTGACATTATATACCCTTCACCATGATAAAAACAATAAATAAAATCTTGTTATATCTAACTATAATAAGATTCTAAGGTCCTCATCAGATAGATACTCATATTCAGTATTAGTGATGCTTAATGAAGACATAAAAGTATTATCAGGGATACATGGTTTAAAATTTTCACTGTTTGACAATTCATAAACTATTATTTCTGATAAGTAACACAGTCTGTATAGTTAGAAGATTATCTGCTTCTTCCTTGAAAATATGCATAAATTTGGTATTTAAACACCCCCAGCATTGCATGGCATGACATTTTGGGACCAAATATGATGTAACAAAAAGCTGCTCAGTATTTGTAACATTATCAGATATAATCATAACACATCTAAATTCTACTATATTGCATACGTCCTCCTGTGTATGACTCCCTGAATTAAATATCAAAACACAGACCTAAAGAGTTCCATGTGTCATTTTTGCTCTAGAATCCTGAAGTTTCTTTTGAAATTCATCTACTGTTTTAAGCCATTTTGTTTTGATTGACATACAAAATCAGAGAAGTTTAACCACATGTATTTCACACTGCGTTTCACACTGGGGTCTTGCCAACATTTTATGACACCCACAAATAGTGATCTAACAAGTCTCATGAGCTAGCAGAGAGGATAATAATTACTTCAAACACGTGTGAGGGATTCAGCAGGAGAGAAATCATGGCATATTCTAAATGCGCCATATCATAATCATCTAATGCCATATGCCCTTGAAAGAGCCTTTAAAAAATGGAATCTCCCAAGATGTATTCTAACAAAGCTGCGGAATCATCAATGTTCAGAGAGGAGATGATTAAAATAAGATGCAGGTTGATGCTACGGCAAAAGCAATCAAAAGAAAGCAGGGCAATAAATAAAAAAGAAAGCTGTTTATCAAGAGTTTCCTGAAAGTATGCTGTGGTCCAAACAAATATGTAACATGCCTTCACTAATAATAATGACAGCAGATAATGATATACTCATATCATATGTAGATGATTATTTATATATTTATTGCCTTGAGTATATCATAGGTAGATGATTATTTATATATTTATTGCCTTTATTCTGGTCAGCTCTATAGTCCTCCAGCTAAATCACAAAGAAATAAAAATCACACATACTCAACACTTGTCCTAATAACCGCATTTTTTTTTTCCTGAAAGAGTTCTGATCCATGGACTGCATGGATCACGTGCACCAGAGGTCCAGGCTGCTTCTCTGAGCTCCAGACTCAAACTCCCACAGGATCTCTTTCTTTGCTCATCCCATGGACGTCTTAAAAATGAATACACCCAAAATGTAACTCATAGGCGAGTGGCAGGTCTAGGATTCAAATATGTGCTCTTATTCACTCCCCTATACTGCCTCTCTTAGTGAATTGTACCAGCACTCACTTGGTTGAATAAAGCAGATACTTGGTTATCCTTGAGGCCTCTCTATAAATCACTGCCACATTGACTCGTTGACTTTGTCCTGTCAATTTTGTGTTCTAAACATCTCTAGAATTGTCCACCTTCTCTCCCAGTCATCATCATAATTTTTCCTGAAGTTCTTGCCTCCAATCTCATGCTTACACAGCCATCTTCCACAAAACTAACTGAGTGAGCTATCTCTCACACACATCTAATAAATTCTACAACATGAAACCCTTCAGTGGCTCTACATCACTTGCACTATGAAATGAAAACTCTTTAACAAGACTTGTCAAGACCACTTGGGATCTGGCTCCTTCCTATCCTCATTCCTGTAATTTCTAAGCATTCCAACAACATCTCCAGGTCCTCCAAATAACCAGGCCCCACACTTTGGGTCTTTCCAAATGGTGCTTCATGGAATGCAACCTCCTCCCCCGCCATGACCACTACAACTTTACATAAATCAGGTTAACCTCCACTCCCTCTCCAAGAACCAGATCAGGCATTCCCAGTTTGTACAGCAGTACTCATGAAAGAGATAACTGTCACTCACATTGTAATTGTCTGCTCCAAAGTCACCTCTCCTCCCACTCCCATTGTAAGGCCATGAACTTATTAAGGTAGTGGTTCTCAAATGAGGTAGAGCCCCAGCAGGTGGAATTTTCAAAGTCCCCATGGATATTCCAGTTTAAAAATCCAGCCCCTGAGGACAGCAACTATAAAACCCTTCAGTGGCTCTACATCATGTTTGCTATAAAATGCTACCTTTTAAGAAGACTCATCATCATCCAGCTATCTTCAGATCCTGAAGTGCCTGGGTCACTTTAGGATCTAAACAAGGGTGAAGAGAATGAACAACAGAAAAGAGCCAGGTGTGGTGGCTCATGCCTCCTAGCACTTTGGGAGGCCAAGGTGGGAGGATTGCTTGAGCCTAGGAGTTCAACACCAGTCTGGGCAACATAGGGAGAGACCCCCATCTCTTAAAGAAAAAATAAATAAATAAACAAATAAATAAATAATAAAACAATAAAAAATTAGCCAGGCATGGTGGCATGTGCCTGTGGTCCCAACTACTTTGGGAGGCTGAGATAGGAGGATCGCTTAAGCCCAGGTGGTTGAGGCTGCAATGAGCCAAGATTACACCACTGCATTCCAGCCTGGGCAACAGAGCAAGACCTGTCTCATGAACAAAACAAAAAAAGGAGAAAAAGAGAGCATACAAAGAAAAATACCAGAGGTTGAGTATGATAAAACTGATGAAAGCTGATTAAAAAGTGATGAAAAGCTGGAACAGTTTATCAGAAAAGAGAAAATACTAAAAAGTGACAAATTCTTAGAAAATTATAGAAAAATGCAGTCAGACTAAATTAAAATGTCAATTTCACTTGCTTTTTTTTTTGGTAAGACGGAGTCTTGCACTGTGTCACCCGGGCTGGAGTGAAATGGCACAATCTTGGCTCACTGCAACCTCTGCCTCCCAGGTTCAAGCGATTCTCCTGCCTCAGCCTCCCAAGTAGCTGGGACTACAGGTGCCTGCCACCACGCCCAGCTAATTTTTTTTTTTTTTTTTTTTTTTTTTTTTTTTTTTTACTTTTAGTAGAGATGGGGTTTCACTATGTTGGCCAGGCTGGTCTCATACTCCTGACCTCGTGATCCACCTGCCTCGGCTTCCCAAAGTGCTGGGATTATAGGCATGAGCCACCACGCCAGGCCTTGACTTGCTTTTTCACAATGATACAAAGGACTTTTATGAGGTGAGAGTACAAAGCTGAAAAATTGTTCCCTAAGCACAAAAATGACTAAACAAAAATAAAATGAACATAACTGGAAGTGGTGAGGTCTTGTGGAGAGAGAAGGAATCACAAACATTCTCAACTATACAACCACCAGGATAGGTTATGGAACTGTCACCTCCACAGGAGATCTGCTTGCAAACGATGGTTCTAGCTGAGAGTTCACCTAAAGTCCAAAGGATTAACTCGGAAATCTCTTGGGTTGCCTCTGAGCTCAGGAAGATGCAAAAGTGGGGATTTGGGATTATCTACAGTCCTACTTCACAATTTTGTCCTCATATTTGAGCCCAGAGAAAAGCTCTCTTCTATACAGCCATTGCCGCCCCTACAGATTCACTTTCCAATTCCCCAAAACAGGGCATTCTGGGAAAGCAATTGCTTTGGCTGAAATTTGATAGGCACAGGTGGCACCGCCAGCTGCAAGTAACTTAGCTCTTACTGGCATTGCCACATCTCTTGGACTTTGCATATTCTATGTCAACAGAGAGAAGTACAGGGGAAGAGGAGCCAAGAAGAGAAGAAAGTGAGAGTGTGGGAGAAGTAAGGGCATCCTCATGGTGCAGGTTCACTGAGGCTGTCACTTGTGTTCATTCTTTTGTAAACAGGGCTAGATGAAGTTATGGATGGAGACAATCCGGTCAGACACTGGGTCAGCACTACCCACGTGTCAGCAGACAAAACCAACAGGAGAAAAAAACAAAACAAAACAAAACAAAACCAACAGGATCCTTCAGATGTCCTTTCCAAGCCAGAAACTGGTATCACTTCCTGCCTGCCAGATAGTGAGATTCTGGGATTGACATTCTATTCCAGGTGAAAGTGATTCTTCTACACATGAACTCACACGGGCTCCTCTCTTACCTCCAAAGAGGTATAGTGGCCAGTCCTTTTTTCTCTGAGCTCTTGAATACTTGGTTACCCTAGTAGAGTAAACACAGGCTCCAGTTTAGCAAATTCAAGCCCAAGGGAAGGGATATTTGGGGCTCATGCTTTGAAAGTTGAGTATTTGGGGCTCAGGCTTTGAAAAGCTATGAATTATTTATTTTTCTGGTGGTCCCTTCACAGCCTTTGATTTCTAGTAAAGATAAGGATGGCCAGAGACGGATACCGAGAAAGGATTAAAAACAAACGGCACACAGCTATCAGCAGAGGCTTTACTGGCACAAGAGTGCCAGTTTTCTCCTTCTAAATTACAAATTCCCTGATCTCTGAAAAAAAAAAAAAAGTCAAGGGCCCTTCAAGGACTCTGCTACCACCTGTATGTTGAGGCCACAATCAAAGTAAAGACCACATTCAAGAGCCCATGCAGTCAGAAACTTGATTTTAAAAGATTTTCTCTTTCTACCTCTTTAATTACCTCCTGGCCCCAACTTCCTAGGAGCCTTGCACTGTCTCTTGAAAGTAGAATCCTGACTGAGATTCTAGGACATGCCTTATTCCCAGATCGAACCCTCCCCAGAGCTCAGCCCACGGTTTTCCTCACTGTTCTCCCCAAATGATGTATGGGTCTTGCTTGAATGAGACCACTCTAAATGAGCAACATACCACCATAACAGTGCCACCAAAGATGACCACTCTCTAGAAATATTCCTGGGCAAATGTTATTTTGAGGCCCATTCCTATAATGAAACATCCACCTGGGAAGAACAAAACCAGGCTGGCAGCAGAAAGTGTGCTTGCTGTGCTGTCAGCTGCTCATTCACCAAACCTGTAAAGCAGGTCCCAGGGGGGCTCTGACAGCTCCTACAACTAACCCATCAGTCAAACATATGATGCTACAATTTGATCCAAGAAAGCAAGTATCAATTATATCCTTCCAATACTAAAAGGGAAAAAAAAAGCACCCAACCAACCATAGCCAAAGAGATAATAGCAGCGAGTTTCACTCTGAGGCTGATCCAGCTGATCTCCTGGTTACCATGTGCTGCACTCCAGCCTCCAAAGTCACCATGAGTCAAGTGGAGAGCGCTGATCATGGTTCATGCCAGTGGCATTGTTTGTACAACCTACAACCTTCATGTGAGGAAATGTAGTCTGCTCAGTTCAGGACAGGAGGTAGACCAGAAACTGAGCTGAATCCCTGACGAGAAAATAAACTGCTAAATATTGTCATATTAAAGTAGTCTAACAGAAAAAGTTAAGAATTAAAAAAAAACTAACCTTGTTTCCCTGTCTCCTTAAAGGGAGCAGCTTTCAGAAATCACTAGATTCAAGTTTCAATTGTTACCATCTTGAAAATAACAAATATCTATAGATCTCTCTTTATAAAAATGTATCTTTTAAATATACAAAACCCCTCTTTTGCTTATTAGATCTGGTCAACCCCTCACTGAATTCCTTCCACACAAGTCAAAGGAAAAAATTATTTTTCCCTTTTCCTCTCTCATTTTTGCTGGCATACCAACCTTCCAGCCCCCAAAACCTACAGAAATTGCTTGTCTGATGGACACTTTTTTCTTCAGGAAATGACATAGTGACATAGGTAAAAGGTGATTTGGATAGACTGCTGTGTCACAAATTGTCAGGATCTGATTTAGAGACCTTGCTTTTGTCAAGAAAGACAGTTGGATGTCTGCTTTAAAGAAGTACTGGGAATATTTTCATCAAAGGTTTGAATTGAAAAACAGTGGGAGGTAAATATCTGAGATGTTGCCGAGAAAGACTGCTATATCTGTGCAATTACCATTAACAGAGGACAGCAGTGGTTCAATGAAGTAATTCAATCTGGTGGCCTACATTTTATCAGAGAGCAATTTTGAGCTCTGACATAAAAGCCAGCCAAAAAAAGGATTGGGCTCTTTTGTATGCATTTTCTCTCCCGTAATTCTATAAAACAGGACATATTTGCCTTATAAAGCCCAATCATGAATTTTTGAACATTTAACAAAGGACCATGAGATATTTCTCTGATGAAAACATGCATTTTGACATTCTTCAGAGTAAGTTTTGTGTGTAGCTGTCTGAGCTAGAGAGGTATTAAAGTGCAGTAGGCTGGTGTATTTAAAACACAGAAAGATAGGAAAAGAGGCAGACATCTCAGGGTGTTAACAACAGCAGGGAAATAGTTTTTATAATCATTTTAAAACAGCTTTACTGAAGTATAAATGAAATATAATAAACTGCACATATTTAAAGGATAAAATTTGATAAATTTTGACCTATAAATATATCTGTGGAGCCATCCTGACAGTCATGATAATGAACATACCCATCACCTACAAAAGTTTACTCCTGCCCCTTGGTAATGCCTCCCTCCCAATTCTGTGCCTGCCTCTCCAAGCAACCACTGATCTACTTTATGTCACTGTAGATTAAACAGCTTTTTCTAGCATTTTATATAAATTGGAACCATACAATATGTACCTTTTTTGTGTGGCTTCTTTTTTTACTCAGGATAATTATTTTGAGATGAATCCATGTTGTTGCATGTATCAATACATTGTTCCTTTTTAATGCTAAGTAGTATTCTGTTGTATGAATATACCAAATTTTCATTCATTAAGTTGATAATGAACATATGGCCAATTTCCAATTTGGGGCTATTACAAATAAAGCTACTATGAACATTCATGTAAAATATTTGTATGGACATGTGCTTTCTTTTCTCTTGGGTAAAAACCCAGGATTGGAATGGCTAGAATATATTGTACATACATATATAACATTTTAATAAATTATCAAACTGTTCTCTCAATTGGTTGTATCTTTAAAAAGGGGAAAGATTTACATGATCTAAAGAGAAACTAGAGTTTATGGTTGTACATTTTATATTCCCACTAGTGTGTAAAAGAGTTGCAATTCCTCAATATCCTCACCAACACTTGCTGTAGTCAGTCATTTTCATTTTAGCCATTTTAATAGGTGTGTAATAATATATTACTATATACCTATTATGGTTTTAATTTGCTTTTATGTAATAATTAAAGATGTAAAGCATCTTTTCATGTGCTTATTTGCCATTTGTATATTGCCTTTAGTGACACATCAGTTCAAATCTTTTGCTCGTTTTTCAACTAGGCTTTTTGATTTCTTAATGCTGAATATTAAGATCTCTTTATATATTGTGCATAAAAGTCCTTTATCAGATACAAACTTTGCAAAACTGTTCTCCTAGCCTGTGGATTATCATCTCATTCTCTTATCCATGTCTTTTGAAAGTTATATTCACTGGGTATACAATTCTAGGTTGGCAATTTTTTCTTCTAGTACTTTTAAGGATGTTGCTCCAGTGCATTTTTTTTTTCCAGAAAAAAAAAAATCTGCTGTCAGTCTTTGTTCCTCTGCATTTATGTCTTTTTACTATTTCCTGGCTATTTATAAGATTTTCCCTTTCTTATTGGTTTTGAGAAATCTGATTATAATATGTGTTGGTGTAATTTTCTTTATGTTTCTGATGTTCTGCACTATTTTCATCAAATTTGGAAATTACTTTTGTCCTCTCACCCTCCTCTCTCTGGAGACTCCAATTTACATGCATTAGACTGTATGAAGTTTTCACACAGCTCACGGATGCTCTGTTCAATCTGCAAATTCTCTAATCTTTTCATGTTTCATTTTGGCTAGTTTCTGTTGCTATGAATTCAAGTTAACTAATCTTTTCTCCTGCAATGTCTAATCTGCTGTTAATCCCATATAATATATTTTTTATTTCATACCTTGTAGTATTTACATTAGAAGTTCAATTTTGCTCTTATACTACTTAACTGTCTGAACATACGGAATACCACTATAATTTTTAAAATATCATTCTCTGTTAATTCTAACATCTGATTCAGTTCTGATTGACTGATTTCCTCTTCATTATGGGTCTTATTCTCCTGGTTCCTTGAATGTCTGGTAATTCGTAATTGAATGCCATAAAATGGTTTTAGAATTCAGTTAAGTCACTTGAAATAGTTTGACCCTATCAGAACTCACATTTTAAACGTGCTGGGAGGGCAGGGTGTGGTGGCTCACACCTGTAATCCCAGCTCTTTGGGAAGCCAAGGTGGGTAGATCATCTGAGGTCAGGAGTTCAAGACCAGCCGGGCCAACATGGTGAAACCCCATCTCAACTAAAAAAATGACAAAAATTAGCTCTCAGCTACTCAGGAGGCTGAGGCAGGAGAATCGCTTGAACCCAGGAGGCAGAGGTTGCAGTGGGCCACAATAGTACCATTGCACTCCAGCTTGGGCAACAAGAATGAAACTGTCTCAAAAAGATAAAAAATAAAAAGTGTCACGGCAAACTGTAGCACTGCTCAGTCAATGACTGATTATTTCTCAATACTGAGACAAGACCCTACTATGTACTTGACTCTATGCCCCATGAGTCTAGTGGTTTTTCCAATCCTGCTGGTGAGAATCAGCACTGTTCCTGGCTATGGGTTAATGTAAGGCACTGTTGCCTCTAATCCTTCTGGATGGTTCTTTCCCAGGCATCAGGAAGTTTGTTGAAATGCATGAGCTAATTAACTCTCTAATGAATAACGGAAAGCAATCCTCTGAAGATCTCTGGGATCCTTTCTCCGTGCATCACCCCTCCCCCCTAATACTCTGTCCTTTGAATTTTTGCTACCTTGTTCTTCCTGGACTCTCAGTATCTTCTCCTAATGCAGAAAGTCTACTGAGTTCCACTTGGTACTTCTGAATTCCCTCTGCCCTGCATGGAGGCCTGGAATTCTCTCAAGGCAGGAAGCTGGGACACTCAAAGAGATGACTACATTTGTTTACTTTCTTTCAGGGATCACTGTCCTTACTGCCTTATGTCCAGTGTCATGCAAACCATTGTGTCATGTATTTTATCTTTTGTTTTGGTTGTTTCTAATAGAACAATAAATTCAGTCCCTGTTATTCTTTACTGAAAGCCCAACTCTTTTCATGAATATTTTTCTTTAGATTCCTATTATCACCTGGCATATTAGGGATTAATTTGATTAACTATGAGTGTCATGAAAAGAGAAACTTTGTCTTATTTACTGCTGCTATATCCACAGAACCTAAAACAGGCTGACTGGCCTGCTGTCTGTTGAATTTATCAATGAGAATGAAAATGCTAACTACAAAATGTACAGTTAAACACAGAAAAGCTTCTTTAAGAAATGTGCCACACAGTAAGCTTAGATTTCTATCACTTAAAACACTTGAGAAAAAAAAGTTCTAGTCTGTTAGTATTTTCTGATGGTCTATGTGTCTGTTTTGAGCTCAAATAATTAAGAACAGCATGTCTACTGGGAAGAGGAATAGCTCTTTGCAATTTGGACTAGTGAAACTTTTTGTGTTTCTGTATTTACTCTTGACCTATGGCTGAAATTCTAGAATTGGAACTGTATGCTTTCTACACATCTGAGGGTCTACAATTCAAAAGTACCTTTACCTTTCATTGTGTGCACAATATTTTCCTACCTCAGATGGTATTAATAATGAGATTATAAAGTCTCTAAGACTAAAGGAGTTTTGTTCTAATAGCCTTATTCAGTGTAAGTGCTTACATATACTAAATATTCCTAAAATTCACAGAAAAGAATTGAATCTCTAACCATTTAAATGTACTAAATTAAACAATAAATTCTTGCATACATTACCTCGGAAACATTTTATGAACTCAAGTTCACTTAATTTACGTGTAACTTTGCCAAATAAGATTAGTTTAATAAATCTTGGCTTAATAAAAACAGTAAGTCTTCTTTATCAGTTTTAAGTACATGAGTAAACATTTTAACTCTACACTAGATAATTTACCTAAAAATATACTGGTTTCCTGGCCAAATAAGCTAGCATTATTTCTATTTTATGTTTATGTTTGTCTTTATTTTTCTTTGACCAAACTGCATCAATATTCTCAAAAACTTTTCTTCAATAGTAATTATGCTTCTTACTATGTTGGCTTGAGCATAATTTCCAAGATTTTTAAGTAATTTGAAACCTCAGACTGATATTAAATTAATTAACAGATATTCATTGGATAGTTACACCATTTCTAATTAAGATAGAATACTAAAACACTGAGCACTAATCATAATTTAAAATTTCATCGTTTTGCTTTTTATTTTTATAATCTACAGAGAAGACTATCTTTGGGTCAAGTTAATGAATGTGTTCATTGTTGTCAATTTATGAAGGTGCATAAGAGATGTGTGTGGCTATAGAAAGTTGGTTATGTTTATTCATGATCTCCTCTAAAATGCTGATATGGAAAAGGAAGATCGTAACTATCCCCCAGTTTTTTTATGTGAAATAGAAGTTAGTTAATTTGGTTAAAAATTAAAACTAATGCAAGAAGTTGACATCATATCTAGAAGCAACAGTTTCTAAGAAATATAATTATGTGTATGCTGCCATTTTTCAAGGAAAAGAACACCTGTGTCCTAATGCAATGTTTCTGAAGATTTTTGGTCTCCAAACCGCTTACAGTTATCTCCTAAAACTTATTGAGGACCTCAATGAGCTTATTTTGTGTCTATGAGAGTGTGTGTGGGTTTTAACTATTGATATTTACAACATTAAAAATTGGAACTTAAAAAAATTTAAAATGCTGACTTGCTGATTCATTTCAAACTAGCAATAATGAGCATACTGCATGGTAATAACATCTTAGAAATACTATGGAAGTAGTTCTGACCTCATGGAACACCCTATGAATAGTCTTGAAGTAAAGTATTATTTTGTTCCAAAATATGAAAGAACATAATGAGAACAGAACATGGAAAGTGAATTTTATTTACCTTGCTTTGTAATACCTGAGTCTGAAAAGTAATGAAATATGTTAAAATCTTCATAGTTTCTATGAGCTCATTTGCTTAAATAGTTTTGTGTAAAACATTCTTTACTAGCTTTGTTTTACATGCCACAGAAATAATCAAATACGTTACATTATTTTTGTTATAAATTCTCATCATATTTTTCACTTTTAAAAGTTGTAAGTGAAAATTAACCACAGCCATGTAAAGTCTGTCACTTACACCGTTTTTTGTTTTACTTTTATGTTTCCTTGAAAGTTATGCATTCAGTAACACAGTAGAACAGAGTTCTGGTTTTCAAATAAGAAAGACAACCTCAGAGCACCCACAATAAAAAAAAAAAACTGCACCAGGTACTTAAAATAATTAAGACTTCAAAGAATAGACTCTTGGGTACAGGTTTCTGATGTCATTGCTTAAATAACTTTGACCAGACCAGTGGGCTGAGTCAAGATTTCCAGAACTTCTTTCAGTCAAGAAATTCATGAGATGAGTTGATGAGATTAATAAGTCAAGATTCAGTACAGCAAGAATTAATTAAACAGGACTCAATGAAATGATGAAGGATGATTGTTTTGAGTATTGTTGGTCTTATGTCAGTGTTCTATTATCTGAGAATATAAGGAAGCTCTCTTTTTTCTTAAGCTATTTATAACTCATAACAATTCTGATTTTATAAACTGAAATGAAGTGTTTTAAAATGGAATCTTATTCTGACACCCCAGAATCCAAAAACTCTAAGTCTTCTTACTTTTCATAGCAACACAGTTATTTACATGGGTTCAGTAAAAATTGGCCTTCCTATTTACCAAGATGAGTATGAAAAATCTTGAAGATCTTGTCTGGAATGTCCTATTTGTGAGTAATGCTCATTTAATCAGATATGATTAAACACTTACAGGGAATTAAAGGTGACTTTATCTCTATAAAGTACCAATCCTCCCAGAAAAACTAGCCTGGTAGCTGGTTTACAGAATCCAGCCACATAGATGGAAAGAGAGATCACTTCTTGGTAGGGTACTTTGGGATATTTTGGGAACATCAAGAAGAAAGAAATTCACCCAAATTTACAGGTACTGCCGGTGACAGAAAGACCAGTGGGCTGAGTGAAGACTTCTAGAGTGCCATTCAGTGATCATGCTTGATCACTCCTTTCAGTGATCCTTTCCGTGATTCTTGGGTTTGGCTTTCCACCCTTAGGACAGCAAATAATACTTTTAAAAGTGCAATAGGAGATTTATTTTGTAAAAACATCAGAGAAAGCAAAGTTTAAAAGGCTTATATGCTAAATTAACATTCTTGGTACACCCGTGTAAATGATCAGGCCAAATTTAAATAAACAAACCTTCCTTTAAGACTATTTTTCATCAAATAGGAAAACATGTGCTTCAAGGAAACACTAGGCATCGTCTATAGCACACTCTCCAGCATAATTAATTTCTGATTCCATGGAAACTATTTTACAAGTCTGGAAGTTGTAGGTAAGTGATAACAATGCAAAATAAACATTCTCTAACATCATGTAAACTCTGTCATGTGAGGTAGAGACTCAGCTGACTTCCTTGAAGCCAGTTCTGCCTCCATCTACACACTCATTTCAATATTCCTCATCTATAACTGTGGATTTTCTTTTGGTTTACCTTTGAAAAAGTTATAACATCTGCCTACTTCCGTCATTATTAAATAAAATGTTTAAACATGTAGATTGTATAATGTATGAGAGTCATGATTTTACTTTTTTTTTTTTTAAGAGATATTGCCTAGATGGGAGTACAGTGGCTGTTTACAGGCATGATTATAGCACACTCCAACACTGATCTCCTGGGCTCAAATGATCTTCCCAACTCAGCCTCCCAAGCAGCTGGGACTATAAGCATGCACCACTGTGCCTGGCCCAAATGATATTTAAATAACCACATTGTAACAACTTGGTAATGTGTACTGTATCCAAAAATGAGAATAAATAGATGGTTTTGACATCTCTTTTGATAGTCCCTACCTACATATATGTACACATGCATATTTTAAATTTTTTAATAAAATTGTGTCTCTGCTCCAAAATTGCACACTGGCTTTAACCAGGTTCTGAAATTATGAGTGATCTTTGTAACAGGCATAGCTTTCTTCCAAAATAATAAAATTGAGCTGTGTACATAGATAAGTATAGAGCATTCAGTTTTCATGATTTGAAACTAAGCCCTAGGAAGTGGAAGGCTTTCTATGTGACAGCTTAAATGCTTGTAATCAAACTAATTGCCACCACGATGACCTGAAATGAGTTTTAAAGCACTATAATATATGTTTAGCAATCAGTGAAGCAATCCTTTATTATTCAGGCTCATGTTTGCACTTTTATCATGTTATAGGACCAAATGGAGGTAGAGGTTGGAAAACAGAAGATGAGAGAAAAGGAAAAATAAAAATATGTAAGTAATTCCATTGCTTCAAAACAGTAAATGAACCAAGAATAAGCATACTGCTGAAAGATGAAAAATAATAAAATTACTTAATTCAAGTATGTAGTGAAGAGTATGTCACAAACACAAACGTACAGGAGAGAAAACTGTTAATAAGATCCATGTTAATTAAAATAAGTAAAATTATGGTCAATGAAGCTGAAAAAGATAACAAAAATCACACCCAGTAGAAAAATAACACAATGTACACATCACAGCAGGAAAAGAAGTAAAGCAGAATTTTTTTTCCCCACTAAAAGTACTAAAATAATAGATTCTGAACATTGAACGAGGGTCACAAAACTTCAGTATCAACCATTGAGGCTTAGCTTAGGCTGTAAGATGAGAGAATTAGGGAACCCAAACTCTAACCACTCCCCTGTCCAAGGAAGACTGAGAGGCTGTTAGTCACAAAAATCTAAAGAAAATCAAACTTTTATAAGATTTACATAAATCGCTGGCTTTGCATTGATTTTATCCTTGTTTAATAACATTCTGAGATAAATAACAAGTGATTTTAGACTAAAGTGAGTTCACTAAAATAGTGCTTAGGCAGGAAATAATTGGCACCTTGACTTGAAAAAGCAGTCTCTAAACGTGTACCATTCCTTAACTGGAGGTATGACAGTGTTAACAACGTACCCATAGATGTGCTGAAACCAAAAGGCCTCTTCAAAGAGAAGCGTGGTACAACCCTTTGTTTGAAAATTAAAGAAAACAGAATGTAATGACACTCAATGCACAGAAGTAAATGTGACCCAAGCTTTACAAATTTGATGGCTCTACCAATTCAAAATTTGCAGTAATTTCTAAAATGAACTTATCCCTTCTGTATTCAAAATTTATATGTATGTCACAACTCAAGAATTTCTCAGGACACTACTGTGTATAACATAGACCTACTACAAATAATAGAAAGTTTTTTCATTTATCTATTTAAAGTACTCAAGCATATCTGTTAAAACATAAATACTGTATCAAACTGTATTTCTTTTATAGCATATCCTTTCCTCTATTTTTACATAATACTGCTTGTTCACATACATTAGAATAACTCAGAGAGGCTTACCATGAATGCATCCACATCACAACTAAGTCTATCACAGGTATATTTTAATGGTCAATTATTTTGCCATTGTGTAACAGAACAATGGTTTCCACACTTCTCCATGTCCAGCTAATTTTTTTAAAGCAGTTGTACACGATGGCTACAAAGAAAAAAGGTACAGTATGTTAAGTATGCCCACAGGTTGTCTCAAAACTCTTTCCAGATGTATCTATAAATAACCAAAACAGAGGAACAATGTCTGATTTCTGTTAAAGCTCCAGATAAGAATCACCAATGGAAAGAAATACATAGGACTTGTAATACTCAGCCAGCGTAAATCAAATCGTGGGGCATTACAAGAAGAGCAATGAGTAAAATCTAGTAGCACTGAAATTTAACTGCCACAAAGACAGTTGTAGCACTTGATGATCTTCACCAGTGTGGAACTAAAAGCAACAACAATATATGACATGACAGAATCTACATAAGTTAAAGTAATAAGCCAAGTATACTAAGTATACCATGACAAACTTCAACAGAGATTTTTCAATAAAGGCTCGTTCTTAAGACAGAATCCATTAGACTTTTTGATAAAAAAGATGTAACAGTATCACATATGAAAACAGTCACTGACATCAAGAAAACACTGTGGCATGGCAGAAAAATTAATGTGACTTTCAACTATAACAACTGAAGGACAGGATCCAGGATGAGCAAGGTCACAGTCCAAATTGTCAGCCTACTCTAATAATACATAACTTTTTGAGTCATGTCTCAGATTGGTGATTGGGTAAGGTGATTTCTGAAGTCCCTTCTGACCTAGAGGTTCTGTAACTCTGGACCTATGTAAAACCAAAATAATAGGTCTACTGTAATTATCAAATTAGTAAAGTGGGCAATTTAGAAACAATTAGGCGAAAACAACTTGTGACTCTATTATGCCTCTGTACAAATGCAGTTTAAGGCTTCCATTTGGTCATGATGCTTAGCTGTTTAATATCTGATTAAAAGAACATTTTGGGTTCACTAGCTTCCTTTGCTTCCCAGAATGTCCTAGTACTAATGTTCCTCCCAGAAAAACCAGGTTTTCATATCACAGAGCTAGTTCTATTGCAAAGTTATTTTAAAAATTAATTTTAAAAAATTCTAAGAGAACTAAATTTGTTGTCTCTTTTTGATTTTGGGTTGAGATATTAACTTCGCCTGAATTTCTCTGCCCCAGAACCCTAAGTTCTCTTGGCAAAGTTGAGTCTATTTTCCACAAAGGTAGGAAAAAGTAAGTTATTGATAAGATCTGCTCACAAATGGTAAGAGGCAAATGTTCTCTTTGGGGACTAAAAATGGAAAGGGAGAACTCTGAGGAGCAGTAAGAGAAATATGGCACAGCACGGGCTTGGATGAGCTCTTGGTGGGTCTCTGTAATGCTAACCTACATGATTCACACTTTCTCTAATTTCCTTCTAAGACAGTCCAGCTGTACAGATAAGTAGTCATTTGTTGGTCTGGGCAAGATTTTATGAGATGTGATGAACATATGAAATATTAGGAGTATTCTAGGAACCACAGCTGTTATGCCTTGCTGCATTTTTAACAGCTCCTTAAAATCAGAGGCCACTACGCACAGCAGCACATTTAGACAGGAAACACTGCAATTATCTGGCTTCACCACTCCATTCCAAATCTGTGATTATATTACAGTTTACAAGCCCTAATAGACAGTCATCACCTTTGGCAATGTTTCTACTTGAAAACAGCCACAATCCCTACATCTGGATTTATTACCAGGGAGTCGCCAATGGAGACCGAAATGTTTTTTGTTTGTTTTTATTCATCCTGCAAACTAGACACCAAAGATTTCAGAGCAGAGATTAAATACAGTATAAGGAAGGTCCCTTTGACATGGCTGTTAGCGAAGCTAATTACTGAAGAAAAATTGGAGATCATTCATTAGCCTACTAAGCAAATTAAGGTTTGTTAACAGTGATTTATAATGCCAATCCTTGTGTTACTGCGCTGGTCCTTTCAAGTGTATGTGTACAGGATCTGACAGTTTATCAACTGTGCTATATCTAAACAGCTTGTCACCAGGGTGCTTTTGTTAAAATGACATTGTATTTTAAATGGATAAACATTTTTACCTGAGCAAAACACATTTTAAATGTTTGGCTTCTGAAGTCAAGTACTGGGAGATAAGTGAAGTGTCTCAAACTATCTAAGCCTCCAATAACTCTTGTTTACTGCTAGAGCTGACTATAGGAAAATGTGACACTTGGAGTTAAAATACCACTTTTCCTCTTTAACAAGCCCCAGTTGTGTTTTTTAACCTCTTTTTCAAATGATACTCTTGGTGTTTCACCAAGCTATAAGTTTCTTATGCAATGGATTGGGAGGCATCTAATTTACAATTTCAGCAAAAATATTTTTTAAGTAGTTAAGCAAAGGAGTGAGTTCTCTGATCTGAAAGATTCTGAGTGATAGTCAATAAAACTCCAGGCTAGTTAAATCTATCAAAATAAGGGTTGTGTGGGTAATCAGAGTAAACCTCCGGAATTGACATTGCCTGTGGGTCATTTTACATAGCTTGTATCAACAAATGCAACAAATTTCTGTAATGTGGAAATCTCCAACAAGGATAAGACAACCTTCCTTAAAGCCAATGTCAGAAAAAAAGATGAAAATGAAGATAAAATTATTTTCAGAATTCCATGGCAATGACCTGTCCATTCCCTCTGGGACTGTCAATGCACTGTGCTAAAGCCTTTACCGCTTCATCTCTATGATCAATCTACTAGCTATGGAACAGGCTAAGCCAACAGCTTCAGTATCTCTATGTACTAGCCCTAAATGAATGATGCAAATATAAAACATTATTCATTATGAATAATTGCATTATTGTTCATAATGAATTTTAAAATACATTACTTTCAAACAAAAGCAGACTCGGCCACTCCGTTGAAATCAGGACTCCTTTCAATGTTGACAGTGAAGAACAGTGTTCACTAAGCAGCACTATGGCCTTGCATTCCTGTGGCTCAAAGGACAGCAAAGAAAGGCAGTGAGGCCAGCAACAAGCAATGGTTGCACATGGCAGACATCTAGTTGTAAGGCAGCTGGAATCATAAATTTTGAAATATTAGAAATTAAGGTCCTTTAGCCACTCTCTTGCCTAGTGGCTCATTAAATCTTTGTTCTCCAAAATCATTTTTTCCCTCTAAATCTGAGGGGCCAGAGATGGGGGTTAGGAGGACAGAGAGATAACGGCTGAGGGCTATTTCCCCACATCCATCAGTAGCACCTAAGTTTTCCGCTTATCTCCTTAAAGAGTTTGCAACAGCAATGTCAAAGATTCCTGTAGACAGCAAATGTTTAAAAATACCCAGCCTATTCCCTCATTTAAATGTTGAGAAAATGAAAGGGTTAAAATTATTGGTTGCAACTGGAAACACCAATTGATCTTTTCTCACCTGATTATTTTTTGTCAAATTTCTCAGTTCCCTTGTACTGAATGAGGAAGCTGAAGTTAAACATAGTGTGTAGGCAGAAGATAATTTCTACAGAGTGTGCTGGAAAAGTCATCCTGTTGTAGAGATTCTACAAATGTTTAAATGTCTCTCACCACAGTTTAACTTGTACTGTTCATTTAGTCAAGGTGTGTCTGCTCCTGGCTCACTGATCCTATTCCCTCAATTAAAATGTTAACAGATCAAAAACATGACCAAAAAAGGGTAAGAATTAGACATGGGAAATACAATTATATTTTCTGTCTAAGGCCCTTGAAATTAGAGAGTTTATCTGCGCCACGTGGAGGAGTCTGTCAGAATGCACCTTAGATTCTGGTTTTGTTACTAGGAGGAAAAAACACAGTTAAGGGTAGTATTTTGAAGGTTACATTTAAAAAATGTGACAATGTTTCACCATAAGGGAGAGCAACAACTTTCGTTTGCCCAGATGTTTCTGCACAGTACACAGGTAGCTTCAAAGGCATTGGTAATGTCCTAGATTTTAAGTTACACTTAAATACACACTTAAATTTCTAACTACGTATTCTAACTTCCAAACTCACCATTTTCCTACATTCAAATCTCCTCTTCTGGGGACTAACTCCAAGTAAGAGTATTGTAGTCATTGATCCTTTACTTGACGTCCTTCTCTACAAACCATCTCTTCCCCACTCACCCGACTACCTCCCTGGCTTTATCCCACATTCCCTGTAATCAACCAACATTCCCTGACAATCTAAGTCCCGTCTTTCTCCAGAGACATCATACAGTCAATTCAATCCACACTATTATGCAATTTCTCTGTATTCTTGTCTTTGTTGCTCCCCCTGCCTCAAACTTGTTCCACCCTTTCTTTCCTGTTGACTATCTAAACATCCATCAAGCTCTGCACAATTTAAGCCTGCTACATTTAACTGACCCTCCTTTATACTTCCAAGTGCTCTACTTACACTTCTCATAGACCAATCAGTTTGCTTTGCTTCAAATTCAGCTACATATCTTTGACTTGAGAGCCATGCTTACACGTTATGCAACTTAAGAACTAAGAGTAGATATTTAAGTCATACTTGTGAGTTAAAATGAATTGAAATCTCCATCTGGAGAGTAGTTTTCCAACTCAACTCCTTATCAATTAGTCCAAATGCCCTAATAATAACTGGATATCCTTCATGGATTTCTAGATAAAATTTAGATTTTCAAAAATATTTCCATTATAATAGATTTTTGTCAATATATAATGGCCAAAAATTAATTTACCTAGTGTTAATTACTAATAAATACAAAGATTAGGGTCTTTATTTGGGGGGAAGTGTTAAAATACTTAATGTTATTTATCTTAAATATAAGTACTTAACAGGTGATGAATGAACACTTGAATTACAAAATCCTTTCCTAGCATCACAGCAAGTACTGCCAAGTGGGGAAGAAGACAGTTTCTTCTGCTTTGGATGGAGCTGCCGTCAGCACCAAGTTGATGTATCTGTACTTCTGAAACTAAAACCCCTAAGAAATCTTATAAATAGTGATAGGTTCTCTGGAGAGCTCAAACCCTCTTATTCAAATACAGTGTGTTAACTGTACCTCAGGATAACCAAATACCTGTAGTTAATGTAGATGTTTCTCTTTACAGAATGATGGAACTGCAATATCACCATTTTGCAGCTCCTAACGAACACTGGGTCTAATCAATGGCTGTTAACATTAATAAAAATAAAGAACTAAATATGTGGCTCCTAATTGAAGCACACAACATGATCTATGAGGCATCCTTGCCAAAATCCAAACCTGAATCTGATCCTATCTAGCCACTGCTAGATCAGCTTATACAAGGTATTATATATAAGACAACCAGAAAATTTTGAAAGAGAAATATTATAGAGATATGCAAATTCAAAGAATGAAAGGGCATCTGAGACTGGGATTATTAAATTAAAAAATGAATTTTCAACCTCATTTATAAATTTTTTTTGAGATCTCGCTCTTGTCACCCAGGCTGGAGTGCAATGGCGCCATCCTGTCTCACTGCAACCTCTGCCTCCCAGGTTCAAGTGATTCTCCTGCCTCAGCCTCCCGAGCAGCTGGGATTACAGGTGCATGCCACCACGCCCAGTTAATTTTGGCATTTTTGGTAGAGAGACGGGGTTTCACCATGTTGGCCAGGCTGGTCTCGAACTCCTGACCTCAAGTGATCCACCCGCCTCAGTCTCCCAAAATGCTGGATTATAGGCATGAGCCACCGTGCCCAGCCCTCATTTATAAATTATAGAAATCTTTGTTGAAATTTGTGTAGTAACTTTTCATCTTCCTTGATGGCATCAGTTTTCTTGCAAACCAAACAAAATTATTAATTTGAATGTTCTAATAAAAGAATTCACCCCCAGAAAATAAATGAATACAATGTGTCAGAAATATTTAAAAGTGGCTGGGCATGGTGGCATTTATAAAAATTACTATATTTTATAAATGGAAATACCACTACTGAAAATAGAATGCTATGAGTAGAATGACGTCTTTTGTTTCCAAAGTCAATATACTAGAGCAATGGGAAAATAATAAAAGCAAGATATTTTCTGGCAGTTACATCAAGATAAATGTTGCAGCCGCAAGCACCACTGGTGAGTATTATCTGGGGAAATGGGAAAATGGTTAAAAAGCAACTATGGTTAGACAGAATACCAAATCAGTTTTAGAAGTTATACAGCCAGGCATGGTGGCTCACGCCTGTAATCTTAGCACTTTGGGAGGCCAAGGTGGGTAGATAGCTTGAGCCCAGGAGTTCAAGACCAGCCTTGGCAACACGGTAGAGCCCCATCTCTACAAAAAATACAAAAATTAGGCAGGTGTGGTGGCATGCACATTTACTCCCAGATACTGGGAAGGCTGAGGTGGGAGGATCACCCGAGCCCAGAAAGGCTGAGGCTGCAGTGAGCTGTGACTACACCACTGCACTATGGCCTGGGTGACACAGTGAGACCCTGTCAAAAAGAAAAAAGAAGAAGTTATACAAAATTATAGCAAAGGAAAACAGGAGATATTTCAAGGGTTTATAGTCAAAAACTTAGAAAGGGGCAAAGAATATTCCCACTATGACCTTTATAACCCTGGATGGAAAGCTACAGGTCAATATTTTGCACCTACTGCCTGTTACCAGCACTACCTACACAACTTAAGTAATTCAACTGCACAGGAAAACAATAATTATACAAATCCCGTCTGAAGATGTATACCACTACACAATTCCCCTTTACTATATAATGCGGCAGTTTTAATCACTGAGTAGAAGTGAGTTGTTTTCCCTGATAACTTTAAAGTATGTCAATTACTAGATGTGACCCAATTGAGGAAGATGAAAATTATTAGTTGAGAATCCTTAAGAGAAATTATGGAGTTTACAAAAGCAGGATACAAGCTATTTGAGGCTGTGGTTCTAAGACAGTTAGATTCAAACCTGGAAGAGGGCTGAAAATTATCCAGAGAAGGCAGAACATGTCACTTGGAAAAAAGTAAGGCTGTACTTCCCTTACAGCAGGAATCAAGTTCTGCCTGGCTGGTTAGTTGCCCCAAAAGTAGCTCCCAACTCCACATGGAGTCAAGTGCTATAAAGAATGAGTCCAGATCTTTCCTGTGATGACATACCAGACCACTGGCCAACACGAAATGTTCTCACTGGTCTTTTCATTCTACTGATTTCAGTTACTGTGTTCATATATGCTAGGGCATCAATTTTTCTTTTTCTTGTCAGAAAGGAGCAAATGTGATACAAGTTCATAAAAGTGGAATATATTGAACAGGTGTACCTTCCCTCTCAGCCCAATCCTAAAAGCTGCTAAGCAGTCTTTAAAAGCTCCAAGTACTTCAAATGCTTCTGAGGAAGAAAATACACAAGTAACTTTAACTGACAAATTACAGAGAACAACCATAATATGTGGACAGCTAATAGAACAGTTCATTCCAACATCGTCATGTTCATATAGAATCACAGAGGATGAATACCCTGTTTTATGTTCACATACAGAAAAAATGTAAATAACTGATCAAATACAAAAGCTGTGCTCCTGAGAAAGCTACAAGAAGAATATAATAAGAATAAAATACTACTATCCTACAGGTACAAATTATAAAACCTACTTTGCACAACATTGCACAGCCACCTGATGAGACCAACTTTGCTCCATCACACACGATTGTGTGAATAACAGAAGGCAGTACTTATTATTTGGTAGTATAGAGTGATATTCTGTGTTCATTAAAATATCTTATCTCATTTAATATTTGCAACACTAATAGGTAGGTATTGATAAGGAAATAGACTCAGAGACATAAAATAACCGGACCAAGGTCATACAGGTAGTCTTAAAAGATCATTCTGCCTCTAAGTTCTTAATTATACACTATGCAAATTGAAACCTCAAATACATGTTTAAGGAGAAAATACAGCCTAAAACGTTTAAATTGAAAAGAAAATGTGTTCATTGCATTGACGTTCAAAACAAAAAAAAAAAAGAAAATCCTACACACACTCTAACAAGTTTTAGTCCTCTTGCCAAAAAAGAAAAAAAAAAAGCAAATCGATTCCAACTAGTCTATACTTTCATTTATATTTAGAATATGAGCTGGGCATGAGTATGTAATGAATATATATGTGTGTCTCTCTGTGTGTATAACACCCACATTATTCAAAAGCTCCCAAAAATGTAGAAAGTTTGTTCCAATCCTTCTCTATTTTGTCTACTTTAAGAATTCTTTGCAATATGCTTATGTAAATACTGATTTGAGCTGCTGTTCTCATTTCTCAAATCTTCTGCTTCTAAACGGATTGGAAAAGTGACAGACCTAAGCAGACATCTTTGGAACACAAAACCAAGGAGATATAAACAAATACAACCAGATCAAAAACAAAGGCTTCTCCTTTAAACCCTTGAATGTATCACTACAGATAAAAGAACTGAAAGTAAAATATACTGGTTTTGGCTAAGGGTGTGTATGCGTGTGTGTGCATGCACACACACCTGCACATGTATATACTCAGGTGTCTATTTTATTAACAAACACAATGAACAGCATCTTACCTCTGTTGACAAAAGCTCTAAATAGAAACAAAGGAAGTCTGTGAAGTTGGGGCTTGGGACAGTGTTCAAGAAAACGGTTCTAGATTGTTAAAAGTGCCTTCAGCTTTCTTACACCAGAATTCATGTTATGGTTCAATTGCGCTAATAGCTCATGGACTCTGCAGGTGATTTCCCTCCATCCACATTTCAAAGACATGCTGAAGAGGAGTAAGGATAGACTTGAAAAATTACCATTTCACTTACCTGAAGCTGAGCCTTCTTTACAGGCTTAAGTAAAAAGCTATTATGACAGCACAAATCACAAAGCACAGTGTAAATAATATGTTGGCAAAGAACTAATGTAAGTTGTGCCCATATCATTTCCACTTAGAAGTATGAAACTCACCAGTGTGGAAGTTAGTATCTGAAATTATTACATGTGATACTATTGGAAAGAAAGTTGAAATAGAAGATACTTTTCATGAGGACTGGGCAACAATATCAATGGATTTTGCACTCTGATAACATAACAATCACATTATTGGAAACACATCCTAGCAGGGCATTTTTGTCACAGTTGAAAGCTGAATACACATCTGGTATGTATCTTCTCCATGTAAGCTAATAATACGACAGACTTTTATGTAAGCAAAGTAAGTCTACCAGCAATTTTACCAAAATAAGAGAAAACTTTTATACTCATCCAATGTTCTGTAAAAGCCATTTTATTAATAGACATGTAATTAAAGACTCTTTAAATCATAAGAATATATTATTAGAGAATAAAAATAACCATTCTTGGAACTAGAGAGAAAAATAACTGCAAAAAGCATAATGAAAATCTCAATGTTTCTAGAAATGACTTTCTTCTTTCAGGGTGATCCTACTGACAATAAAAAAAAAATACTAGAATGTTCAGTACAGAAGTGATCAAGGACTAAGGTAGTGGCTTTGGCCTTCTTTCTGCTGAAGAAAGCAAAGGGGGAGGCTTTAGCTTTTGGATGGAGAATAGATATCGCAGTCTCCAGATTTTACTTCCAGCATCTCAACCTACATCCAGCCTGGTGTGAAGAGATGCCAGATGGGGCTACGTCTGTTATTTCGACTGCTGAAGCAGGATACTGAATGTATCCTGCTTGTTTCTGTTAGCATGAATATTCAGCCACAATAAGTAGGAGCAAGGGTAAGTGTGCTAACTGTATTAAGCAGGTCCAAATCATCCTTATACTTTTTCTCCTATTACAGATTAAGACCAAAAAAAAGTCAACATCTAGAAAATGCCACTTTTGCTAAGCTTGGAAAATACTCATTTATTAATGAAATGATGCTGGTTTCCATAAATTTAATGTAAATGTATCGAGAGAAATACGTGGGCAGAAGAAAACCAGAGTAATTAGCATTGGAGAGAAAAGTTAAAAGCAACTAAAGTGAATTAGTAATTATTTTCCACTTTATTTGATTTTCATGATTTCACTATTTTCTCAGAAAATACTGAGGCATGACTGTATCAGTGTTCATCACTCAGAACACCAATCAGATTCCTTTAAGCATCACAACAGACTTTTACATTGACATGTTATCCTATTGTACAAATAATGCTTATTTGTCACTCTTTTTCATTTGTATCTTGAAAAGGGTCACTAAATCCAGAAAGGAGAATTTCACTATAAATAAATATAATGAAGTGACAACTGCTGTTTGAGAATGAATTTTATATTCATGATTATCACAATATTGTGATAATCCCTGAAGGGTCACCTCACTGCCATCTTTCCCAAAGGACAGAGAATAAGGTTCAGAAATAAACTTTGCATTTTAGCAAAAATAAGTATATTAATTATTGCTGAAAGAAAAACCTAAAGGCAAACTACCCAGACTGTGAGGGAAAACATTCATTAAAAAATACCATCTCCATTCCCCGTCCTCCCCACCAAAAAAGGCAACTCATTGTATATGAAGAGATGTTATTCAAGAAATCAGTTATCTCAATGCATAATCTGAATTCCATCCCCCACATGACACTTCTTACTAAAAAAGTAATTGTGGAGAAATGGTGGCATGAGCTAATCAGGGTTCCCTGTATCTCCTTACATGGCCAGGTAAGGAGCTTAATGTCCTGGGCGTTAGGAACCAGGTATATACCTCGGACTTACTTAAGATCCCTAGGGCCCAGCAGGCTATGTCTTCTAAAAATAAAACAATTCCTAATAAAGAATGGAAATCAGTCTGCTCTTTAGGACTGAGAGAGAAATTCTCAGATTTTTTTTCATATCCCAATGAGCATTCATTATAGAAGGAAATCAATGCCAATGCAAGGCACATATGTGGAAGTTGAGATAGACTTACGAAGTAGCCTGTTCCCAAGCTGGAAGGAGCTGAACTCTGCAATAAAGCATAAAGACAAAAGTGGAAAATCAGCAATGGTTTTTAACACGTTCCAATCCACACAGCTCATTACCAGCCCTTTGCAGGCTTTTCATCACCACATCACATCACCAGTGTATGCTGCCCCTTGTCATCTGCTACTGATACAAACACCGTGTTGCTTAATTTTCCCCTTTACATCTCTCAACAACTCAGAGATGCTAACGTGCTATTTACTGAATTCCAAGCTTCTGCGGTGGATGTAATTGCCAATTTATTTGACAGGCAGCTGGGTAATGAATTAATGATGGCATTTCGCCCTGCACTGAGACTAAACAGACACGCATCAGCTTGCCTCCCTGACTTGCTGACATTCAATGCCCTGGTCTCAAGCTACTCAGTTTTGTGGCCGCAAAGGGGCAGGCAAGAGGAAAAAGCCCAGATTGACTTGAAAATAAAAAGCCCAGTGGGTTTGGATGACTTTTCCAGTGTATGACCTACTTGCCAGTTTATTCCCTAAAGGCATCAGTTAGTACACACACAGGGCTTTTCAAAAATGAGACATTTTGTAAACGTAATTAGTAGACTAAAATGCAGAGAATGTGTGGGCCAAGAGGAGCAGTGAAAAGCACCATTTTTCTGAAGGGTTTAAGTCACAAGAATTACCAGTTTAGGCTGTCATAGTTCTGACACACAGGGAATTTAAAAATGTTAATTCTGAAAGGAATGCAGGGCATCACTTGTTTGGGAAAAGAAGCCCCCCCAAAAAATGTATTTTAAACTTGCCTGAGATTCTGATTTTTGTTTCTTTTTTTCTCCTAAAACCTCTCTTTATAAATTATTTAATTTTTAGCATCCTCTTCCTCTTTGTGATTAAGCTTGAAATGAAGGTGAAGCAAATGCTGAATAGGTCTGCAGGTCTCAGCTAAGCATCCCTGCACCAGCCAGGCTTCTTCCCTGATGAGCTTGGGTTGGGTATTATACTTTCCCAGAAGCAAAATGACCTCTGCCCTGATGCAACAGTTACTCTGTTCACTGCTAGCTCTTCTGCCTACATGTCCTGCCCCCTACTCTGGAAACTTCAGACAGCAGTAACCAGCTGGCTTTTTCATCATTGCTTCTTAGAGCTTCACACAATGACTTGCACACAGGATGCATTTAATAAGGACTTATTGAATGAATGTATAAATAAATGAATGGATGGATTATGTGTAAGAAAAATGGCTCAGGAGAATTTGACATCTATAAAAATACAGCAGATGGTGACTCTTCTTGATGCTAAGCTCTTTGAGGAGGAAACATGGTACTGTAACTATATCTACATCAAACAAGAACAGTATGCTTCAAGGCATTCCTAAATGCAGCTCCCAAAGCAAAACTTTCCTCATCTCAGCGTTTCACACAAGCTCAGGGGAATGAAGCACCATAGATGTGTGATCCTGCTCACTGCACTCAGTTTTTTAAAATCCTGCTGCATTCTTAATCCCATAAATGGTATGGAGGGAGATCCACAGTAGTCATGGAGACAACTTCTCATACCAGTGACTAGCCATATGACAGCATCACCTGTTTCCAGCACCCACAGCCCTCCATGCAGCAGCAGAAGAAAGCAAAAGCCAAGTTAGGTCTCCACCAGCTTGGAGTCATGCCCCTGGGAAGTGAACTCATTTTAGGATGAATTACTCAGAGAGACCATGGGATTTGTTTATTTCATTTCTTTCCCTTCCTGCAAATGTATTTTATCCCAGAAAGAGAAGTACTCCCACCAAACCCACTTCCCTACCCCCACATACATATCATCTTATCGTATACCAAAGAAAATTACATCCTTCAGGTCTCGGAAAGCTCTGTTATGCTCGTTTTGCATATATATTGTACATTACTCAGGGAGCTGGGTGGAGAAGAGGGCTTTGTTGTGCATATTTGTTCTGGCTATTGTTTATGCAGGTCTGACTGAATGAGGGAACAGTGGGTATCATTTCAATTTCTGATGTCAACATCAAATTACTTATTTAATTTCATGCCTGGCGAAGCATTGTATAGCTACACGCAGAATCATTTCACTTCATTTGTTATGCTGTGTTTTCATGGCGATTGGCTTGCCTTCCAACTGACAGCTTTAATTACGACATGAATTTGATTGCACTGCCGAGGAATTAACATAATGTAACAAAGCATTTAAGCACCCTGCCTTATAACTCCCCTCCCCTAGACACGGGCACACACAAACACAGACACACGAGGGAACACAGACACAAGATCCCCATATACATTAAAGGTCCACTGGAATTTGTTTCAGCATTTGCTAGAAAGCATACAGAGTCTCGTATCAGGAGCCATTCACATGTGCCAACCTACTGTACTCTTTTTTTTTTTTTTTTTTTTTTTTAAGGGAAAAGATGCATGGTATTCAGTTTTGATTTCAGGATCAGCAGAAAACACATGTGTAGAAAAACCCTCTTGTGATCGACTTTGCCAAATGTCCATGGCATTGACATTTCCTCCCCTCTTAAACCCTTTTCACCACATTTTTCTTGGCTACTTGCCAACTCCCTTCAGTCATAGCTGGAGAATTTTAACAGGAGTGACATCTATTAAATAAAGAGACTTCTGCTTGTCTAGTCCTACAACCCCAAGATTCTGACTACGGCCTTGTATTCAGTGAGATATTACGCCTGGTCACCAACAGGACCCCACCATTAAAGTATTGGTAACAGAAGTTACCAGCCACAGGGAAGTCAGACTTTAGCTGAGGCTCACAACACGTATCATATATCCCTGAGGTCTCGCATCCAAAAGGCCCAGTAAAGAGTCTCTGTCATATATTTATAATCTAAAGTCTATATCTAAATACAGCTGCAAATATTTGGTAGCTTCAATAATTTTCCAAGACAGAAATTATATGAACACAGGCAACAACAGATCATGCTAAAAACAAAAAAAAGGAATGTTTAGAAACAGCAGTAATATTGTTTCAAATGTGCTGTAAGTTATTGACAGATGTATATTTAGGGATTGGTACTGCTTTCTCATTTTAGAAGACACAGTCACCAAAGAAGAGACAGTCACCAAAAGGTAAAGAACCATGAAAGTAGACAGGTGATAATACCCTAACTATTGAACAATTTCACAAGACTCTTCCTTAATGATCAAGATCATGACTCACTGCAACCTCAAGCTCCTGGGCTCAAGTGATCCTCCTGCCTCAGCCTCCTGAGTAGCTGGACTACAGGCATGCGATACTGTGCCCAGCTATTTTTTTTTTCCTAGAGATAGCATCTCACTATGTTGCCCAGGCTGGTCTCAAACTCCTGGCTTCAAGTGATCCTCTTGTGTCGGCTTCCCAAGTGTTGGGATTACAGGCATGAGGCGCCGTGCCAAGCCTCCCCTATCAATTTCCAATAAGAAGGGAGGACTTCCATTTTTTTGCTTGGAGACTTCAAGCAAAGTCTGTCCAAACTATATAGCAAAAGAGGCCACAGAATACTGAAAAGGCTGTGAGTCAAACTGAGACTTGAAAGTTAAGATGTTTTTTTAAGGAAAGAAACAGAAGTTTCCTTGGTTTCAAAAGCATTTGAAATAATATCCATCCATGTTTAGGCAAATACTTTTGCTGAAAAGGGCTTCATTCTTATTTCTTCAAGTGGTAGAGTTGCCATTTCATTCATATTTTCAATGCAGTAGGTAGAAATGAGAACTATTAAGAGGCTGAGAAAATAGAGTAGGAGAACATTTTAGCAGTTTGCATGAGAACACAGGGATATGAGGAAATGCTAGCCAGCTGGCTATCTGATATGCAATTTCTGGGCTCATTATAAGCCATCTCCTGGTTAACATGGTCTTTTCATTCTGCTGGATTTTTTTTTTTCATATTTGACCACTGCTCCAGCAATCTCTGCAAACTACCCACCTCCATCTCATTATATTGTAAAGGAGAGCTTTCTTAGAAACACTCTCTTTGTCTCAATCTTCATGCTACCACGGGCTGCAGGAACATAATGGGATGCACAGTTGAAAGACATTTTCCAGGAGGGAGAATGTTGCTGCTGACATTCAAGTCTGCAAGTAGATATTCATTAAACACTTGTTCTCCTTTTCTCATTTCCCCCCACTTGCCTTTCCTTCCATCTCTTCACTAAGCTATCATCGAAGCTACTCATTAAACTCATGAAGTTAACATTTCTGTTTTAACAGCATACTTACAATAAGGGATTTCAAAATTGATTATCCATCTAAAATAGATGTGCTCCATTCATTATAAATCCACACAGAGAGGCCATGGCTACTGTTACAGCTCCCTGAGTACAGACAGGACACATGTGTACTCCACCCCTAGGTGAGAATGTGTGTTCTGACCCTAGGGCTAATTTAAATTGAATATTTTTAAATTCTTCCAAATCGCTAATTGTGTTCAACATTCCTGGCTACCCACCTTCATGTTATGCTTTTCTCTCTTGGGAGTAAAAAGGAGAAGGACCATGCCAGGAATCACATGAACAAGTAAATTTCTTGCAAAGGTCACAAAACAAGCTCATTCACAGATCTTCCAGTAGTGTTTTAAAAACCTGAAATCTTAATCCAAAGAAACGTACCTTGGAGATAAGATTACTAATAGCCGACCAAACACACACACACACACACACACACACACAATATATATATATATATTTGATTGAGAAATAAGCATATAGTTGTTGGAAGAAATCAAGTAAAAATGGAGCAACAACTTGATAAAAGCATCAGGTGGGAAAAATGCTACGTCACTTCCAACACCAATTATTCAACCTTCTGTTATGCCCACGTCAGGTTGTCACCAACTCTCATCTCAGCCTTCTGGCTTCTACCTCTGATTTCATTCTTGCTCTTGTCTTCATGGACAGTTCCTCATATCAAAGGCAAAATAAACATTTTAAAGTAAGAACTACAACTCCAATCCTTTTAACATAGTCCAGTGGCTTTTAAGATAATAACCTGTCATGGATTGAGCAATGTCCCCCTGTTTATGTCTACCAGGAACCCCAGAGTGTGATTGTGGTGGTCAATTTTATGTTGCAACTTCACTGGGCCACGGGGTGCCCAGATATTTGGTCAAACATGATTCTGGGTGTTTCTGTGATGATGTTTTTAGATGAGTTGAACATTTATATTGATATGCTGAGTAAACTGGATTGTCCTCCCTAAAATGGGTGAGACTTATCCAATCAGTTGAAGGTCTGAAAAGAACAAAAGGCTGACTCTCTCCCAGAGAAGAGAGAATTCCTTTTGCCTGGCTTTGACCTGGGACATCAGTTCTTTATTGTGCTTTCAGACACAATAAAAACATCAGCTCTTCAAGAGTTTCAAACCTGCCAGCCTTGAGACTAGAGTTATACTATAGGTTCTCTTGGGTCTCTAGCTTGCTGATTGTAGATCTTGGGACTTGTCAGCCTCCAAAACTGAGCCAATTTCTCATAATAAATCATGTTCTGCTGGTTCTGTTATCTTCTGCTGTGGTTCTGTTTCTGTGGAGAAGTCTAATACAATGACATAATTTGGATATACGGTCTTTTTAGATGTACCTAATTAAGGTCATACAGATTTAGGATGGGCTGTAAATCCAATGGCTGCTGTAGAAACCATGTGAAAACTAAAGAAGAGACTGGAATGATGCATCTATAAGCCAGGAACACCAAGGATCACTGGGAGGCACCAGAGGCCAGGAGAAAAAAAGGATTCTTCCCTAGAGCCTGCAGAGGGTACATAGCCCTGAAGACACACTGATGTTAAATTTCTAGCCTCCAGAACTGTGAGATAATAGATTTCTGTTGTTTCCAGCCATACAGTTTGTGGTCATTCATTAAAGCAGCCCAGGAAATTAATACAACACCCAGCCTCCTTAGCATGGGCTAGAAGTTACGTGTTCAGCCACTGTGCTACTTCACTCTACTGTAGCCACACAAGCCATTTTTCTTTCCCTCGAACACAACATGCTTCTGATAGGGCCTCTAAGCTTGTTGTTCCTGTTGCCCAGAATGTTCTTCCCATAGACCTTCACCTGTCTACCTTCTTTTCTTTACTTAGGCCTCAGTTTTAATGTCACCTACACAGAAAGGCCTTATCTAATCACACTAGTTAAAGTAGCAACAAACTCCCGCCCTTCATATTGTTTATGTCAGAAAACATTCTATTAGAAAAAATTGTAGCTATTTCTTAATAGATTTGTCTCTCCCACTAGAATGGAAACTTCATGAGGGCAGAGGTTTCATCTTGTTCTCCACTCAACCTCAAATGCCCAGACTATACCTGATGAATAAAAGAAATTTGATTGACATTTCTTGGCAACTGAAATACTGACATATCCAGGAGAATTCATAAATGTATGGGACAGGAATGGAAAAAGGCATAAGCAAACTGTTAAGGAAAAGGAAAATGTGGCACAGATTTTTTTAAAAAGAGAGGAATAAAACACCAAGAATCCTTGTCAGGTCGAGATTAGATTTCCTAATCTAATTATAACAATGTGGGAAGCTCATTCATGGTAGTGGCTCAAGTCTGTTTCCTCCTTAACAGTAGCTGGTCAAACAACCTGGCATGGAATAAAACCTCAATAAAGATTTCAAGAGAGGGAGGGAGGGAGGGAGAGAAGGAAGGGAGGAAGAAAGAAAGAATAGGACAGATGCTGGCATGGGTGGATGAACAGTGGCACTGTGGGATAGACAAATCAATAAAAACCCAAAGACCAGGGAAGATTTGAAGTAGGAGAAGGGGTATCTCAAAAGGAAGCAGAAAAAATGTCTCAACTGTAAATAGCTACCAGAATAATAAGAGTAGACAACTGTGTAGCATTAGACTCATAAGACTTTGATCCATTTTCATTATTTTCTGAGATGTTTCAATTCCTTGAACGATCTGAACCCTTGAAAGGTGTTAAATATTTTTCTGTCTTCTCATAACTAACAACCCAACCCAAAATTCTTTCAGAGAGAAAGGTGAAAAGAGTCATATTCATATAGTCATTAAATAAAGCATTAAAGAAGTTTACTTCCACAGTGTGTTGGGAAGTGTTTGGTAGAAGTGAGGTTGAAGCTGACATAAGGAAAAGAAAAACAAAGAAAGAAAAAAGAACAGAAATAAAATAGGCCAAGCGTGGAGGCTCATGTGTATAATCCCAGGGCTTTGGGAGGGGGCTGAGGAGGGTGGATTACCTGAGGCCAGGAGCTCGAGACCAGCCTGGCCAACATGGCGAAACCCCATTTCTACTAAAAATACAAAAATTAGCCAAGCATGGTAGCACTTGTGTATAATCCCAGCTACTCAGGAGGCCGGGGCACAAGAAAAGTTTGAACCCAGGAGGTCAAGGTTGCAGTGAGCTGTGATCATGCCACTGCAATTCATTTTAAATAAATAAAAAGAATAAGCAAAGGTAGGAAGATTTGAAAGTGCGAACAAGGCCAGGCGCAGTGTCTTATGCCTGTAATCCAGCACTTTGGAAGTCCGAGGAGGGTGGATTGCCTGAGGTCAGGAGTTCGAGAGCAGCCTGGCCAACATGGTAAAACCCCATCTCTACTAAAAATTCAAAAATTAGCCAGGCGTGGTGGTGTATGCCTGTAATCTCAGCTACTTGGGAGGCTGAGGCAGGAGAATTGCTTGAACCCAGGAGGTGGAGGTTGCAGTGAGCCGAGATCGCACCATTGCACTCCACTCCATTCCACTCCAGCCTGGGCGACACAGCAAGACTCCATCTTGGCGGGGAAGAAAGGTCACATTCTTTGCCTAAGGTCACACACAATAAATAGCAGAACTTCTATTAAATCTTGGCCTGTTTATAATAAATGCCCATTAACATTTCATAATTTGAGGCTTGTTTATTAAAAGTTTTTAAGTAAGTTTTGCTCCTAACTTTTGACAAATTTCCTCAGTTACAAAATTCTGTTTAAGTTGGAAGCAATATTTTCCCTGTGAATAACTCATCATAAACATTTATTAACTATATATTCAATTATTCCCCTTAACTCTTCCCTAGTGACTAATCTAAACAAGTTACTATGTCTCCTTGATGTGGACAATCTGAAAGTCCTTGTGGCCAATTATTCCCCCCAGGCAACATGGTCTGGGAATATATAATTTAGAAAAGCAAAGCATATTTGGGTTTTTCTTCTTTTTTTTAAGACAGAGTCTCACTCTGTCACCCAGGCTGGAGTGCAGTGGCACAATCTCGGCTCACTGCAACCTCTGCCTCCCAAGTTCAAGCTATTCTCCTGCCTCAGCCTCCCGAGTACCTGTGCTCCACCACGTCCAGCTAATTTATTTGTAGTTTTAGTAGAGACGGGGTTTCACCATGTTGGCCAGGCTGATCTCCAACTCCTGACCTCAAGTGATCTGCCTGCCTCGGCCTCCAAAAGTGCTGGGATTGCAGGCGTGAGCCACCATGCCTGGCCACATATTTGGTGTTTTTAAGCTTTACGCATGAGTCAAATTATACAGCTACACTGGAATTCTTTATTCTTATTCTTTTGGCCTAACCAATTCAAAAAAACAAAGCTAGAATAATATACTATTTTGATTAGCCTCACTTGAGAGTAAGTCTCAACTGCCAAAGCTCCTAAAAATATCACTAAAATGGGTGAAAGGCTGACAGAAATTTTCATCTTAGCTGAAAAACGAGTCAGGGGCATGATGGACTAATAGGGACTGAATGTATTCTCCCACCTCAAGCAACTAAAAAACTGGACAAAAGGTATGAAACAGGAGTTTTTAGAAATTGGGTAAGACAGAGTAAAGGACAATAATATTTGAGAGAAGAGAAAAAAGTAGGGTGACCCTTAAAATTTTCCCACCTTACTGCCTGGAGAGTTTTCATGCCACATGATTGCCGGGTAGGAGGTGACCCAGGTGGAATCCCTGAGTCTTGAAGACACAGTTGAGAATAAGGGGAGGCAAAGACAGCTGGAACTCCAAGGCAGAGGATAAGGAGGAGACAGCATCACAGAAAGCGAGAATCATGAAAGCTGCAGAAGGTTCCCCTCTAGTTTCTACCTGATGACTAGTCAGCACATCTGTGAGAGAAAATACCCAAGGCGAGGAAAACCACCACTGGGAAGGAGGAGGAAGAACTTACAAAGCCCACACAAGGCAGGGAATAGTTTGTTTTCCCACAATCTACAGTGGAAAAACCTTGTAAGACGTTAGGCATTAGGCAAAGTACTCAGTCAGAATGGGGGAAAAATTATCTTTAGACTAAAGGTTGTTCTGGTCTTGTCCAAGAAAGTACAAAAGCAAACATTAAAAACACACACACACACACACACACACACACACACACACACACATCTCCAAATAACAAAATTGTATCCCAAAATGAGTAATGTTTATAGAAACCAGAAATACCCAGTACCCAACAAGGAAAATTTTATAATGTCTGGCATTCAATAAAAAATTGCCAGGCATACAAAGAAGCAGGAAAATATGACCCATAGTGAGGAGAAAAAACAACCAATAGAAACAGGTCCAGAAATGGCACAGGTGACAAAATTAGTACACAAGGACAGTAAAAGCTGTAATAACTATTTTCCATATGTTCAATGAAGTGAAAGAAGAATAAGCATAATAAGAACTAATATGGAATTTTTAAAGAAAAAACAAAAACAAAAACCAGTAGTCATCTTTGACTCTACCTTTTCACTCTCTGATAGGCATTAAAGAAGACTGAAGCTGGGCTGGGCGCGGTGGCTCACGCCTGCAATCCTAGCACTTTGGGAGGCCAAGGCGGGCGGATCACGAGGTCAGGAGTTTGAGACCATCCTGGCCAACATGGTAAAACATCGTCTCTACTAAAAATACGAAAATTAGCTGGGCATGGTGGCACATGCCTGTAATCCCAGCTACTCGGGGGACTGAGGCAGAAGAATCACTTGAACCAGGGAGTCGGAGGTTGCAGTGAGCCAAGATCATGCCACTGCATTCCAACCTGGTGACGGAGCGAGACACCATCTCAGAAAAGAAAAAAAAAAAAAGATTGAAGCTGGACCCCTTCCTTACACCATATACAAAAACCAACTCAAGATGGATTAAAGACAAGTGTAAAACCCAGAACTATAAAAACCCTGGAAGACAACCTAGGCAGTACTATGCTGCACATAGGAAAGGGCAAAGATTTCATGACAAAGTCATCAAAAGCAATCACAACAAAGGGAACAATGGACAACTGGGATCTAATTAAACTTAAGCACTTCTGCACAGCAAAAGAAACTATCAACAGAGTAAACAGGCAACCTACAGAATGGGAGAAAAATATTTGCAAACTATGCATCTGACAAAGGTCTAATATCGAGCATCTATAAGGAGCTAAACAAATTTACAAGACAAAACCAAACAACTCCATTAAAAAGTGGGCAAAGAACATGAAGAGATACTTTTCAAAAGAAGACATATATGCAGCCAACAAGCCTATACAAAAAAAGCTCAATATCACTGATCATCAGAGAAATGCAAATCAAAAACCACAATGAGATATCATCTCACCAGTCAAATGGCTATTATTAATATTAAAATGTCAAAAAACAACAGATGCTGGCAAGGTGGCAGAGAAAAGGGAACAATTATAAACTATCGGTGGGAGTGTACATTAGTTCAACTATTCTGGAAAGCAATATGATGATTCCTCAAAAGCTAAAAGCATAACTACCATTTGACCCAGCAATCCCATTACTGGATATAAACCCAGAAGAATATAAATCATTCTACCATAACAACACATGCATGCAAATGTTCACTGCAGCACTACTCACAATAGCAAATACACGGGCTACACCTAAATGCCCATCAATGACAGATTGGATAAAGAAAATTTGGTATATGTAAACCACGAAATACTACATTGCCATAAAAATCAACAAGATCATGTCTTTTGCAGGAACATAGATAGTGCTGGAGGCTACTATCTTCAGCAAACTAATGTAGGAACAGAAAACCAAATACTGCATGTTTTTACTTATAAGTGGGAGCTAAATAATAAGAACTTATGAACACAGAGAGGGAAACAACAGACACTAGGGTCTGCTTGAGGGTGAAAGGTGGTAAGAGGGAGAGGAGTAGAAAAGATAACTATTGGGTACTACTGGGTGATGAAATAATTCTGGGTGATGAAATAATAACTATTGGGTACTACTGGGTGATGAAACTCATGTCACAACAAACCTCTGTGACATGAGTTTACCTATATTACAAACCTTCACATGTACCCCCAAAACTAAAATAAAAGTAAAAAAATAAATTAATTGTTAATTCTCTTTCAAGAAAAAATGGGGCATCTTTATTCTCTAAAATATTGTGCAGGTAGGTGTTGCTTTGGTATCCAAAAGATCCATTCTGTGGGTTGGTTTGTTAAAAGCTTTCATCTCGGCCGAACATGGTGGCTCACGCCTGTAATCCCAGCGCTTTGGAAGGCCAAGGTGGATGGATCACCTGAGGTCAGGAGTTTGAGACCAGCCTGGCCAACATGGTGAAGCCCATCTCTACTAAAAATATGAAAAATTAGCTGGGCGTGGTGGCAAGCGCCTGTAATCCCAGCTACTCAGGAGGCTGAGGCAGGAGAATCGCTTGAACCCAGGAGGTGGAGGCTGCAGTGAGCCAAGATTGTGCTGCTGCACTCCAGGCTGAGCAACAAGAGCGAAACTCCGTGTCACGGAAAAAAAAAAAAAAAAAAAAAAAGCTTTCATCTCAGCAGATTTCAGATTGCCATAGTGCTTGACACAGGACTCTGCAACCTCAGACCTGCACATGAGTGAGGGAAATGTGACTAGGGATCTCAAAACATTTCAGTAAATGTCCACGTTTTGGGTCATTTTTCTTTCTTTCCTTTTCAGTAATGTTGCAAAAAGTGTGAATTTTAATAATTAATGAACAATACGCCTACTATATGCCCACAAATTTTTTTCATAATTTTAAAATATAATAAACAATATGAATCGGAAGTGTTTCATTGACTGGCTTGACATAAGACTGACAGGATTTTATAATGTCTGGCATCCAATGAAAAACTGCCAGGCATACAAAGAAGCAGGAAAATATGACCCATAATGAAGAGAAAAAACAACCAATAGAAACAGGACCAGAAATGGCACAGGTGACACAATTAGTAGACAAGGCTGGTAAAAGTTATAACTATTTTCCATATTTTCAATGAAGTGAAAGCAGAATAAGCATTATTACAGCCCTAATTATTTTTACATTTTTTAACAGATCATTTTTTAATTGTGTAATTCAGTGGCATTAATTACATTCAAAACATTGAGCAACTGTCATGACTATCTATTTCCAAAACATTGTTATCATCCCCAAAAAGAAACTCTGTAACCAACAAGCAATAGCTTTCCTCCCTCCCACTCTCCATCCCCCAAATTCCTGGTAAGTTCTATTCTACTTTATGTCTCTATGAATTTGCCTATTCTAGATACCTCTTATAAGTGGAATCATACAATATTTGTCCTTCTTTGTCTTGCTTTTATTTAGCATATTTTTAAAGTTCATCCATATTGTAGTATATATTACAATGCCAATCTTTTTTATGGCTGAGTATATTCCATTGTGTGCCTATCAGCCAAGCTGTCACATTTTGTTTATCAATTCATTTGTTGAGAAACACATGGGTTGTTTCTACTTTTTGACTACCATAAATAATGCTGCAGTGAACACTGGCTTACAAGTCTCTGTTTAAGTTCATGTTTTCCATTCTTTGGGGTATATACCTAAAAGTGAAATTGCTGGGTCATATGGTAATTATATGTTTCAGCTTTTTGAGGACTGCCAAGCTGTTTTCTACAGTGGCTGCGTCATTTTACATTCCCACCAGTAATGTATGAATATTCCAACTTTTCCACATCCTTGCCAACACTTCTTATTTTTCATTCTCTTTTTAAAAGCATAACCATCCTACTAGGTATAAAATGATAATCTCGTTACAGTTTTAATTTGCATTTCTCTAATACCTAATGATTTTCAGCATTTTTCAAGTACCTCTTCTTTGTACTTCTTTGTAGAAATATTTCTCAAATTCTTTGCCCATTTTTGCTTTAGGTTATCTTTTTATTATTGAGTTGTAGTTCTTTACACATTCTGTAGAGTAAACACCACTTATATGATTTGCAAATCTTTTCCCCATTTTGTAGGCTGTCTTTTTACTTTCTTGATAATGCTCTTTGGTGTGAGAAGTTTTTAATTTTGATGAAGTCCAATTTATTTTCTCTTTCATTGTACATGCTTTTGGTGTCATATCTAATAAGCCACTGCCAAATTGAAGGTCATGAAGATTTACCTGTATATTTTCTTCTAAGAGTTTTATGGTGTTCACATTTATATTTTGGTCATTGATTCATTTTGAGTTTATTTTTGTACATAGTGCGATGTAGGAGTCCAATTTCATTCTTTTGCACATAGAAATCCAGTTCTCTCAACACCATCTGTTAAAGAGAAAATTCTTTCCCCATTGAAGTGTCTTGGCACTCTTGTTAAAACTCATTTAGGCATATAAGTATGGGCTCCCTTCTGGGCTCTCCATTCTACTCCATTGGTCTGTATGTCTAATATTAGGCCAGCACCATACTGTTTTGATTAACTGTAGCTTTGCAGTGAGTTTTGAGGTTGGTAAGTGTGAGTCCTCTAACTTTGCTCTTTTTCCAGACTGTGTTGGTTATTAAGGCCTTATGCCATTTCATATGTATTTGAGAATCTGCTTTTCCATTTTTGCAAAAAAAGATTGTTGGAATTATGATAGACATTGCACTGAATCTATAAATAGCTTAGGGTAGTACTGACATCTTAATAATACTGTCTTTCTATTCATGAATATGGAATGTCTTTTGTCAATTTCTTTTTATCTAACAGAAAGTGAGTTAGAGGAAACAAGCCAAAAGATCCAATGGCAGCTCTAGTCCCCTAAACTAACATGGCGTTCATTTCTCTACACTATGAAAAAAATATGACCTACTAACCCTGGAATAATTTCTAGAGTCAATGAGATCTTACATTAAAAGTATAACAAAAATCTCAGAAAAACAGCTATTTAAACATTAATTATTATTGCTAACAACTTAGATAAGAAAAGTTGTCATGGTTTTATGGTTGTATAGCTCCATCACAAAATTAATCAGACACATGGACACACAATAAAACATATTCTTACACACAGAAACACACACACAGTAAAATACTGTTAGTACTCTTTATTTATATAACTTTGATATTATATCACAGAAGAAGGGGAGGTTATTATCTATAACTAATATATTAAAATAACATAAAAATAATTATACTTTATTCCATTTAATTCCTGTAAGAATACAGTATCTCATACAACATCTCATCATAAACCTCACAAACTTTCATGAGAGGTGCAGAAATGTGATTGTATCTCGGAATTGTCTACCTTGGCTGATGGAGAGATGGATGTGGTATTATCATAGAGAACTGCTCAGTGTGCTAGAGTGGTCTCCAACCGTTTATGTTAGTAGACATCTCTCAGTAAAAAAAAGTTTTGAGTATACACTCCTTAAATCCACGTATTTAAAAATTATAGACATCAATTATTCCCCGCTCGTTAAACTGAATACTAGTAAAGTTTAATTTCTTTTTTTAAGAAAAAAAGTACTAGTATTTTCTTTCTGGAACTCAATGAATCATCTTGCACTCTATAATGAACAGCACACTGCTTTAGAGTATGGTGTTTTTTAAAAATAAAATGGAGAAAATAAAAGATTTTGCTTCTTATTACATATCCTTTATTTATTCTTAATACTCAGACACTCTGAAGTGCTATCTCTTTTTTTTCATGGTGCTACTCTCTCACTTATTCTGTTAATGCTAGACCATCCTGGTCAACATGGAGAAACCCCATCTCTACTAAAAATACAAAAATTAAGCCAGGCGAGGTGGCTCACAGCTCTAATCCCAGCACTTTGGGAGGTTGAGGTGGCAGATCACGAAGTCAGGAGTTCAAGACCAGCCTGGCCAATATGGTGAAACCCCATCTCTATTGAAAATACAAAAATTAGCTGGGCGGGGTGGCACGCGCCTGTAATCCAGGCTACTCAGGAGGCTGAGGCAGGAGAATCGCTTGAACTCGGGAGGCGAAGGTTGCAGTGAGCTGAGATCAGGCCACTGCACTCCAGTCTGGTGACAGAGCAAGACTCAGTCTCAAAAAAAAAAAAAAAATCTCTTTACTTGATCCATTTCACAAAAGAATTTCCAAGTGTTGCTCTTGAGGTACAGATGAGTTAAGAATGCTGATATATGGCTGGGCGTGGTGGCTCACACCTACAATCCCAGCACTTTGGAAGGCCGAAGAAGGCAGATCACGAGGTAAAGAGATCAAGACAATCCTGGCCAACACGGTGAAACCCTGTCTCTACTAAAAACACAAAAATTAGCTGGGCATGGTGGCGTGCACCCGTAGTCCCACCTACTCAGAAGGATGAGGCAGGAGAATAGCTTGAACCTGGGAGGCAGAGGTTGCAGTGAGCCGAGATCGTGCCACTGCATTCCAGCCTGGCGACAGAGTGAGACTCCATCTCAAAAAAAAAAAAAAAAAATGCTGATATATGACATATGAGTAAAGAAGGTAAGAGAGTCCAAAGAGGGGTAGGTGGTTCTCAGAAGTAATAGAGGGGGAACCTGCCCTGTTGGTGGGCAGACTAGAGAACAATGAAAATCACATCTAGAGGGCAAACAGATATCTCAAGAGGTATGACGCATTCTCACAAGGTTTTCCTTCCAGAAATCCAACGGGAATTTATTTATTTATTTTGAGATGGGGTCTTGCTCTGTCACCCAGGCTGAGTACAGTGGCACAATATCGGCTCACCACAACCTCTGCCTTCTGGGTTCAGAGATTCTTCTGTCTCAGCTTCCCGAGTAGCTGGGATTACAGGCATGCACTGCCACGCCCAGCTAATTTTGTATTTTTAGTAGAGATAGGGTTTCTCCATGCTGGTCAGGCTGGTCTCAAACTTCCAACCTCAGGTGATCCACCTGCTTTAGCCTCCCAAAGTGCTGGGATTACAGGCGTGAGCCACCGTGCCCGGCCTTGTTGTTTCTAAGGTAACAAATAGTTCCTCCTACCTAATGATTTGTCAAAATACATTTTTGCTCAAACGACATTTTAGAATGACACCATAACTACAATGCTCAAATAAGTATACAAAGATAATGTGAACCGCAATGCTTGGGTAGACAAAAAGTTCTAAAGATGAGGGAAAGTTATGTAATTCAGACTTGAACCAATGGTGTGTGTGTGGCCTAGTGGTTTTCGTTAATTTTTTTTTTTTTTTTTTTTTTACTTAAACTTACATCACTGAGCCTTTCCCGAGAGCTGCTCCGGTGGAAGCCCTTGGATTCTCCACTGGCACTTTCACTGTCACTGTCCCTGCAGCTGTTCTGTCCTGGCTTGAGCTAAAGGCAAAAGAAAAGAGAAAAAAGGAAAAAGTTAGTGGTCTGCTTCTTAGTTCCTGTTTTTGATCCTTGTCAAGAGTGAACAGCCAGGCACGGTGGCTCACGCCTGTAATCCCAGCACTTTCGGAGGCAGAGGTAGGAGGATCACGAGGTTAGGAGTTTGAGACCAGCCTGACCAACGAGGTGGAAACCCCGTCTCTACTAAAAATGCAAAAATTAGCTGGGCATGGTGGCATGTGCCTGTAATCCCAGCTACTCAGGAGGCTGAGGCAGGAGAATCGCTTGAACCTGGGAGGCGGAGGTTGCAGCGAGCTGAGATTGCACCAGTGCACTCCAGACTGGGCGACAGCGTTAAGACTCCGTCTCACAAAAAAAAAAAAAAGAGTGAACAATTTAAGGTTCTGATCTTTAATATTCTTCTCAGTTTCTGAATACTGCCAGGCAAGCTGCCATAGAAAAAATACAGAGGGTAGAATAAGCAAAATATTCACCATGAAATGTCAATGTAGAGAACAGAGTGGGCAAGCCTTAAATAAACACCTAAAAAGCCAAACCTCAAGGTCCATAAATTAGAAAGCAGTCTTTCCATCAAATTTTTTCTTCTGTTCCACTGCAATTTTTTTTCAATAATGAAAAGACCAAAAATGTTGAATAAACTAAAGTGAGATTACACCAACTATGATTTCTTACCTTTTTTCTTCTGTCTTGTCTCAAAAAAAGAAACAAATCAGAGCAAAATAAAATAAAGTTTTCTTCTCCTAGGAAAAAATGATGAGATGCTGTGATGTTATCCTTCAAACACTGGGATGGCACCTAATGATCTTGTTAATTGAGATAACATCCTGGAGGTTTCTTACTACATATTTAAAAGAACCAATGAAGACCTACAGATTAAGTAAATTAAATCAGCACTTATTCAACAAATAATGTATTAAGTGCCACATATGGGCTAGAACTAAGTGCTGAAGATATGGTACTACACCAAAAAAAAAAACAAAAAAAAACAAAAAAAAACAAAAAAAAAAAACAAAAGTCATCTCATGAAGTTTACGTTCTAGTGGTTTCCACACATTTAACAAGCTCTGGTTTTCCATTAAAAATGAACAAATACATAAAATTGAAAACCATCAGTCTACATAAGACTAAGTCATAAATATATGGAGTACTAGTCTACAATATCATCACCAAACACATTTTCAGAAACACCAAGCAATGTAGTACTGGTTACAAGTCACAGCCCCTTGACAATGTTTCCAATATAACAAGAAAAAGGCAGTAAAAGATAAGCAAATACAACACCACAAGGAAATACATGTTCAATGAAACCAAAAAGTAGCCAGGGAGGTTCAGAGAAGTGATTTCTGAAGCCTTGGATTTTAAAAGTAGATTAAACTCATATGGCTGAGAGGACAGTGAAAGATACTCCATTGAGGAGAAAAGCAGAAAGCAAAGACAGAAAAAGCAACATGCTGGGAAATGATCAGCAGTTTCATTTGAAACAGAGTTCCTTTGGGGAGACAATAAGAAACATTAGAGCTGGGTGCATGAATGAAAACGTGGAAAATCTCAAACTAAACATAAGCTCCATTTTTCTAGACAGGAGGAAACTTCAAAGAATAGAAGAGGCAATAAGTAGGAAATTTTTGCCTGCAGGATTTCAAGTGGCTATGGTGCCTAGGGGAAGATGAAACCAAGATGAATAGAGTGAGGCTGAATCAACATTCCTTGTAGTCTTTAAAGACTACAGTTCAGACCTCACTTTTGGTTATACCATTCACAGAGTCAGCTTTCCCCAAGTCTCCAAAACAAGGCATTCTTTTTTGCTATCATCCTTTCCAGAAATTCACCTTTATCACTTTCTTCTAAAATCCCTTTCTCCGGGAAGCCTTCTGCAAAGGAGCCCAGAAAATTGATGCTAATTTTACTTTGTATCCTTCCTGAGCTCTTAAGTACTTAGTTTTCTCCTCAGTCAACGCTAAAGCTCCTCATTCTAAGTTAATTCAGATGCAAGTTGTATGAGGCTTTTGTTATTACTATGGAATAAAAGCTCAGAATATTGTCATTCTCTTCGATTTTTCACTTTTATATTGATAATAAAGGAGAGATTTAATCTACAATGAACATCGCCTTGTCTCCATTCCCTGAACGTTTCTTGTCCATTCCTGCTCTGCATTTTTTTCACACCATATTCCCTCTGGAATGTTCACCCTTACCTTCTCTGTGCTTCTGATGTCAAGATGTTTTTTAAAGCTCAGATCTTACCTCCTCTGTTATGGTCTTTGAAGAGCTCTTTCTTTCTATTATTTATTTTTTAAATTATGACACATTTTTCAAGCTCAAAAAGCCTATTGTTATAACATAGTTATACTGATAATAAAGTTTGCATGTGGCATGGGCCCTCCAATTCATAAGCAGTATCAAACTCTTATCCCACTGATTCTGAGTTAAGTAAGGGCAGGTAGAACTACCTCCAAGGTATGGATGAAAAAACTAATTCTCAGTGCACAGTTAGATGTTTACATTTGACATGAAGTAATGATTCTGCAGCATATTAGTACTCTCCACATAATATGTTCTAAATTTGTATGTGGTACCTGACTATAGTACGTTCACAAAGAAAATAATCTTGTTAGGTGATATTTGATCAACACCTTTATGGCTGAGCACAGTGGCTCATGCCTATAATCCCAGCACTGTGGGAGGCTGAAGCGGGGGGATCACCTGAGCCCAGGAGTTCGAGACCAGCCCAGAAAACATAACAAGACCCCGTCTCTATTTAAAAAACTAATAATAAAAACTCAGTTCCCAACTTAGATGAGAGATACATATCCAGCTGGGAACTAAGACTATAAAGAGTGTCAAGGCTTTTCCTAATATCCAACTGGCTTAACAAAACCTGGACATTGCACCTGGGCCTTTTCCATGCTTCTTCACGGAAGGAAAATGATGACTTTACCAAGGCACAAAAACAGACTTCAGTGGACCTGACGTAAATTATCTGACTAAATGTTGATCTAGGCTAAGGGCAAAACCCAAGAAGGACTGAGAGGAAGCAGCCTGCTAGCCTTCCCAGTGCCCTGCCAGCAAAAAACACTTCAGTGAATTCTCTTCAGAGAGCCTTACATAAAATCCACCCCTACACCACCCCCTTCTCCTCCAAAGCCAGGCTCAAGTTTAAAGGAAACTTAGGATTTTAAGCTGTCAGACAGCTCAATATTTCAAAGAAATGAACTGACTACAGTAAGTACTAAAGCTAAACCACAAGATTTCAGGCAAAGAAGTATTCATTTCCAATCCCATGAATATATTTTCTTTCTTTTTTTTTTTTCTGAGACGGAGTTTTGCTCTTGTTGCCCAGGCTGGAGTGCAATGGTGCCATCTCTGCTCACCGCAACCTCCGCCTCCCCGGTTCAAGCGATTCTCCTGCCTCAGCCTCCTGAGTAGCTGGGATTACAGGCATGACAGGCATGTGCCACCACGCCCAGCTGATTTTGTATTTTTAGTACAGATGGGGTTTCTCCATGTTGGTCAGGTTGGTTTCAAACCCCCAACCTCAGGTGATCTGCCCACCTCGGCCTCCCAAAGTGCTGGGATTACAGGTGTGAGTCACCACGCCCAGCTGAATATAGTTTCAAACTAGCATTTTAGCCACATCCAATGGATCGTTTGGGGTAGCATAACTAACTCAGAAGTTGTAATCCTTCACCTGAAATTCCCAGCTATTACCTACAACCAAGAAACATCACAAAGGCCAGATGCTGGCTTAAACATTTAAAGAGCTAAGAAAAATTGATCTGCTTGCATTGATTTGTATGAGCATCCATGGCAGCTATTACAAGAAAGCTTTTCCTATAACTGATACAGTAAGATTTCTTACCATCAGCCTTTACATACTTCAGGACCTTGTTTATTTAAAAATTACTATAACCCACTCTCTGTTGTGAGAAGCTTCTTCCCATTAGAGTATTATATATTCAATAGTTTGGGCACCAGAATGAGAACAAAATATGCAAAATGAAAGCCAGCTGGTATCTGGCATGAGTGGCAGTAATTCTATCAATGAGATTAACATCTTTTATAAAATATAAGAAGCTAGTTTGTTTTTCATTAGATTTCACTGTCAACAATATATGCTCCAAATTCTGAAATTGTGATCCCATTACAGTGTTAACTGTTATTAATGGCTAATTAGGAAAATAACGATCCACAGTTATGTCACTGCTAATGAACATGTAACGAAGTCCCATCACCCTAGACTGCATGAAGGTATAGCAATTCTGTGCACATCTGCTTGGCATTTGTGAGCTGGGCTATCCCATTCTTTTCAGCTTGGATATGGAGAGTTTCAAAAAGATGCTACTTGCCCAGTAGGTGTCATTAATCCATCAAACAAAATTTACAGAAGGATAAATTATGTGGAGAATATATCTATGCCTGGAATTTGAGAGGAATGATGCGAATTATGCAGGCAATGTAGAAGACTGTCCAAATGGAATCTCCTTCCACAAATTTGATTCCTCAAAGTAGCACATATCCTTTTTCAGACTGCTGAGTTTTTCTGTAGGAATGTAAATGAACTCTATGCAAAATTTGGGGAATGTTTCAGTAAGCTCAAAAGATTCTCCTTTTTCAAGAAAATTTTAATATACCCATAGACTACACTACCATCAAAGCAGCCAAGTATTTAATCTTGAAAAATACTATTTTTATTTTTCAAGATAAAATTGTCCCCAAATTGGGAAAGTATCATGGATTGGATAGAATTTGTACTATTTTATTCTTTAAGTTTTAAAGCGTATTTCAGATGACAGGTACATGAACCAAACTAAAAAACTTAATGAAAAATGCTGATGAATCGAAATAAGCAAACACAAAATAACTACAATAAGTAAAATTATAAAGTTGGATAGAAAAACTATTTTTTAAAAAAGAAAACTATATTGTATCTTTAAGTGTACAGTGCCAAGTTGTGAATAAAAGCTAAAATTATTTTAACAAATTTTGGACACAAGGGCAGGGCAAGGAATTTTTCTGGGATCACAGAATCAAAGGTTCTTTTGTTATCATCTACAACAGCTAGAGAAAGTGTTTTAAATAACAATTTGATAATCTTGAAGCTAACCATTAGTAAAATTTAAACGTTAAAAATATTTGCCTTCCAAATAATTACCAAATATAAAATGACTCAAATCATAATAGAGAAAGGGAAAGAAAATAAGAAAAGTGGCAAGAAAGCAAAGTGTAAAACAAAGTGTTCTGATAATAATATAAATACATTAAGCTCCCATTTAAAAATAAAAATCTGGTTTGTGTTGGGTAAGACAGAGAGATGGATAGATATACAGATCAATCAACAGATTGATGTCCCATTATTTATTAGTTACAAAGAACTCCTAAATTTAAAAAAAGAGAGAGGGAAAAAGACAAAAGGTTAGAAATAAATAGGTAAAAAAATCACCTGTCAAAGTCATTTTATAGTGATGAAAGGTACAGTCTTTACCTTTTATACCCTTCTAAGTTATAAACCATTATACAAAACTATACAAAGTAAAAAATATTCTAAATAATAAAAGAAAGCAAAAGAAGGTGGGAGCCTTTAGCATTCTACTAATCAAGGAACAAGAAAACAAAACAATGAAAAAGGACGCAGAGGTTAAAAAATGAAGTTTGACTTAGTTAATATACAGTAAATTGGGTAACTTAAAGAGACACACCTAGAGGATCTATGGGACATTACCACCAACTGAAAATGTACCAGGGTAACAAAGAATATAAGAATAAATTTCAAAATGTAAAAATTATATGAACAGACTTCTCTATGATAAAAAGTAATAACAGTATTTTATGTTGAATATCCATATCACCTAAAGAATTTTTTTAAAGTCTGTCTACAATTAACAACTGGGTAAAAGACAAAATCACACATACAACATTTAAAAATTAAGAAAATGAAAATTATAAATATATAAATTTTAAAACTTATGTTGTAAAATCTTTGCTAGAAGTTAACTCATGGACTTAATGTATTTTCTATTAAATGTGAAAGAATAGAAATAAATGGCCTAATTATAAAGATTGAAATGAACAAAAAAGAAATAAGACAAAAAGGCAAGTATAGGTAAAATCAGAGGAAGAGAATTCTAAAAATGAGAAGAACATCATTAGAAATTAAAATATTGTACAGTTAGTAAACTATAGTATAATCTGGGGGGAACCCATAAAGATATGAGATACACCTCTAACACATTTAAGTATAAAAGAGATGGCAAGCAAAATAAAAAACAGATAAATTTCTAAATACAGAAGTAAACATTCTACAGTGATACTTTCAAAACCATAATTAAGCAGTCTAAAGTTTTTAAGAAGATTTAACAACATTTGTTCCAGAACATGAAAAAATATGGAAAGCTAACTTGTGCCAAAATCTGGTGACAAAACAAAAAATGAAACTACAGGATGACCTTCCTAATTTAAAAAGCTGCAAAAATCTGAAGAAACACAGCAAATTAAATTTAATAATATATTAAAGTATAGCCCACCAAGTTCTAACAGGATTTTTCACAAGAATTTAAGATTCTACCAATTTGCAAATGGTCACAAGGGAAATTTCTGAGGTGATGGCAATGTTGTATGGTGATGATTGCATAACTCTTTAAGTTTACTAAAATTAATTAGCTTGTACCCTTACAATGAGTGAATTTTATGGTATCTAACTTATATTCTAAAAAAGCAGTTTATTATAGAAAGGAAAGATCCCATCAGTTTAATTTCTTACTCCAGAAAGTCAGCATCCTGTTAATAGTTCACTTGATTAGGTCAGGCTTACAGAAGAACTTCCTTTCATAAAGTCAACTGTGCTATATAAGAAAACATGGGAGTAAATAAGGGACAAGTACTTTTAGGGTCATCTTGGAACTCTGCTTACCATGGTGGATTTTAAATAAGAAAGTTAGGGCTGGGCGCGGTGGCTCATGCCTATAATCCCAGTACTTTGGGAGGCCGAGGCGGGCGGATCATGAGGTCAGGAGATCAAGACCATCCTGGCTAACACGGTGAAACCCCGTCTCTACTAAAAATACAAAAAAAAAAAATTGCTGGGCATGGTGGTGGGCACCTGTAGTCCCAGCTACTCGAGGTGGGGCTGAGGCAGGAGAATGGCCTGAACCCGGGAGGCGGAGCTTGCAGTGAGCTGAGATCGCGCCACTGCGCTCCAGCCTGGGCGACTGGGGCGACAGAGCGAGACTCTCAAAAAAAAAAAAAAAAAAAAAAAAAGAAAGAAAGAAAGTTAGGTATTCCCTTGAAATTCATGTATCGTAAAGTCACTCTAATGCAATTAGACAAGTTTCATTAATGCAAAGTAAGAAACAGGATTTTTGGATATGTTTGGACTTTGGAAAGTTATTTACCTGTGTTAATGATGATCCCAATAAACACTTTAGGCATTATTAGACAGGAAATGACTTAAAATTGTGCTATTAGCTTAGAAAATAAAAACGACTGAAGTGCTTCCAGCTGCCAAACATGCACATTATTTAAAGGGGTTCAGTGGACTTCATAGCAGTAGAAAAACTAAGTTAATAATTTATTTATTTATTTGTTTATTTATTTATTTTTTGAGATGGAGTTTCACTCTTGGTGCCCAAGCTGGAGTCCAATGGCGCGATCTCGGCTCACTGCAACCTCTGCCTCCCGGGTTCAAGCGATTCTCCTGCCTTGGCCTCCCGAGTAGCTGAGATTACAGGTGCCCACCACCACGCCTGGCTGATTTCTGTATTTTTAGTAAAGACAGGGTTTCACCATGTTGGCCAGGCTGGTCTCAAACTCCTGATCTCAGATTATCCAGCCACATCGGCCTCCCAAAGTGTTGGGATTACTGGCGTGAGCCACTGCGCCCAGCCCTAATAAAATTTAAAAAGGAAAATAAGCCAAGATCAATCTAACTATATAGTCTCAAACATAAATAAGAAGCAGTTAAGAAAATCAAGAGCGAACTGACCGACTTTGACATCATTACTATAGACACGCTCAATCCAGACAGCAGAACTTAACAATGTTCTACTGCTTATCAAGAGAATTGTTAACTCTACTCTCTATGATTAGGCCAAGAGGATATTACGATACTATTTCTTCATAATTTAATAATGTGAAGGCAAGAAAATGGAAGTGTAAAAGGCAGTGTTTGATGTATAACTCACATATCTATCTACAACTTGGATACTATTCCTAGGTTTAATTATGCTGTAAAATGTAATTCTAAGGCCCCCTCACCATCTGAATGGACTCTTCCTCTCAGCAAGGGCATTCTAAGGCTAACCTGAGGGACGGATTCAAGCCATGATGGGGGACAGGGACCGGACATGCCCCATAATAACCTCCTCCCTTTCAGAATTACTAATAGAGCAGACTCTCTAAGTCTGATGAGAAACATTTACAATTTATTCTCTCTGAAGCCTGATACCTGGAGGCTTTATCTGCATGATAAAACGTTGGTCTCCATAACCCTTTATCGTAGTAAGCCAGACATTCCTGTCTATTGATTCCAGATCTTTAGATAATAAATTATCTCTTTCAACCAACTGCCAATCAGAAAATTTTTAAATTTTTGACCAAAAAGTCTAAACAATAGAGAAAAAAAGATGTACAAGAATAGAAATGTACAAAAGATGTACAAGAATTAAAGAGAAAGGCCAGAATGAACAGATTGCATTTGGCATTCCTTGAGTATAACCATGGACTAAATGATAAATCTGTTTTCAAATAGGCTCAGAAATTCACACACAATACACATACACAATGTAAAAAATAATGTGTTGAAGGAATATTTGATTGCTTTAGTACAGTTTTCAGCTTTCTTAAAATAAGATTTTGATTATTAAAAAGTAATTTAGAGACAATATTATTTGGTTTTCAAGGATGAATATAAAAAATAAACACACAAAACTTACTTTTTATGATTTTCTGTTTTTAAAAAACATGTTTCAATAACTTTTTAAATGGCCTGTCATTCATTAAAATAGCCACCACTCTCAAATAGAAAATGTCTTCTATCTTTTGTTTTTCCCATTCTAACACGAAAAAACTAAAAGTGTCCAACTGAAGGTCTGAGAAAGGAAATATGTAAGATGAGTCTGGAACACCTTGTCATCCTAGCAAGACCCTGACAAAGGGGCTTGGGAGCCAAACTGAAGGGGTTCCCACTGACCAAAAATGGAACAATTTGGGCCGGGCATGGTGGCTCACAATCCCAGCACTTTCGGAAGCCGAGGCAGGTTCAAGTGATTTTCATGCCTCAGCCTCCTGAGTACCATCCTCGGCTATTTTTTTTTTTTTTTTTTTTTTTTTTTTTTTGCCATGTTGGCCAGGCTGGTCTGGAACTCCTGACCTCAAGTGATCCACCCACCTCAGCCTCCCAAAGTGCTGTGATTACAGGCATGAGCCACAGCTCCCGGCCTGGAATTATTATTTACATTTTGTTGTAGTTACAGTAAAAAAGCAGAGTCCTTTACAGATACACAGTAAAACATTAATGGGTGAGATAACTTGAGTCTGAGTTTTATTTTATAAAATAATCCAGGGGATAGGGGGAGCAATACCTATTGGGAAGGGGGAAGTGTAGGGATATAGAGGAAGTAAGATTAGCCATGTCTTAATTGTTGAAGTTAGATGATGTTGGGTTCATTATACCGTTATCTTTACTTTCATGTATGTTTTAAAATTGCCATATTAACAAGTTTTTAAAACTTTGTTTCTGGAAAAAGCATTGTTCTTCTCTAACCCATATATTTACTGTTTATCCATTTTAATTGAATAATTATGAGCATCTAGAATTTGTTATAATATAAAATACTTTGGTTGCAAGCTATCAGAACTTCTTGAATATTAATTCTGACAGCAAATCTCTATCCAACTTGCCACTATTTTGATCCCAGTTCATTTCAAGTGCAGCCAAAAATTAAAATCTCATCAAGACTAAGCCCCTACACTGTCCATAGCTATCTTAATAAACTATATGTCACTAAACTTATCATTAGTGACTATCCCATGAAAGGCCATATTACTTCCATGAGGACAGAACTGAACTGGTATACCACACACTAGAGTTAAACTTTTTTTTTTTTTTTGAGACAGAGTCTCGCTCTGTCGCCCAGGCTGGAGTGCAGTGGCATAATCTCAGCTCACTGCAAGCTCCGCCTACTGGGTTCACGCCATTCTCCTGCCTCAGCCTCCGGGGTAGCTGGGATTACAGGCACGCCCACCATGCCCAGCGAATTTTTGTATTTTTAGTAGAGACGGGGTTTCACCTTGTTGGCCAGGATGGTCTCTATCTCCTGACCTCGTGATCTGCCTGCCTCGGCCTCCCAAAGTGCTGGGATTACAGGCATGAGCCACCACATCTGGCCTATGTTCTAGAATATTTGAGAACATATCCAAATATTAATAGCCAAGCATATTAAGTTCATAACATATCCCTGTTATAAACTTAATTGTGAGGCCAGGCATGGTGGCTCACGCCTGTAATCCCAGCACTTTGGGAGGCCGAGATGGGCGGATCACGAGGTCAGGAGATTGAGACCATCCTGGCCAATAAGGTGAAACCCCATCTCTACTAAAAATACAAAAATTAGCTGGGCATGGTGGGGCGTGCCTGTAATCCCAGCTACTCGGGAGGCTGAGGCAGGAGAATTGCCTGAACCTGGGAGACGGAGGTTGCAGTGAACCGAGATCACGCTACTGAACTCCAGCCTGGCGAAAGAGCTAGACTCAGTCTCAAAGAAAAAAAAAAAAAAAAAAAAAAAGCTTCTCATCTGGGATTGGCCAGTAAGGAGAGCTCAAAAGCTGAATGGTAACATGAAAAGTATCATGTGTGCTAGTGAGCATACAAAATCAGCCTTTAGATTCCATAGTCTTCAAAATGTGCTATCACTGATTTTGTTCTTGAAACAGTGATCATATGTAATTTCAGATATTTTAGATAGTGAGGTATCGGATTATAAAGAAAAAGTTGCATAATTACAGTTAGTTTAAGAAGTCTTCATCCTGGCATTTGAAAATTTTTAAAGTACTTGTTCAGCAAAAGGTCAAAAACCACTACCAAGAAAAGTTAATAGCTCTCTTAGTATTATACATACTTACTGACGAGATTGCCACTTTTATGTAATTTGGATAATATGAAGCATTTAAAAATCCTATTTATTTTACCTAACAAGTATAAAAAAAAAACCACTCCTTTTCTTATGTTGTTAAAGATCACTACAGCAAAAACTTTTTTCTGACATATCCTGCAATGACAGAAAGCTTTTAAAATGTGTACTAACAATCACTGATTTCTTAATAATAAAAATAACAACAACAACCTTTATAAAAGAAATCCTGGGTAAATTTTTAAGATGGTGCTTTCTATGGAGATGGTATAAGACAGGGTCTTACTTTATTGCTCAGCCTGGAGTGCAGTGGTACGATCACACCCCACTGCAGCCTTGAACTCCTGGGCTAAAGTGATCCTCCCACCTCAGTCTCCCCAGTAGCTGGGACTACAAGTGTATACTACCATGCCCGGCTAATTTCTACATTTTTTTGAGAGACAAGATTTTGCCACGTTACCAAGGCTGGTCTCGAATTCCTGGGCTCAAATGATCCTTCCACCTGGGCCTCCCAAAATGCTGGGATTACAGGCTTGCACCACCACACCTGGCCTGATTCTTCTTTTAATACTGAATGAATCATTCATATGACGTCCAGTGCCAGCATAGTCCAGTTAGCAAGGGGGTGTGCCCCTGGAAACAAGAGCACTAACTGCACTAATGCTATAGTTATAAAGGGTCAATGGAGCACCATGACAAGGACGACCCCACACCCTACATTGTCCTGTGTCACTTATTCACATTATGAGCCTGGCCTCTGAGGAACCTGAATTAGAGACTCAAGGTTTACAACAAACTTCACTTTCATGTAGCAAGTGACTTTCACTCAGCTCCAGAAGATGTATAAAGACCCTCCCATTTTTAACCTGCGCAAAACAGACTTAGGAAATGAGATAATTCAGTTTTGATTGAGGGGCAAGTGAGGTAAAGGAAACGTAAAGAGAACCATGAATTTCCCAACTATCATTCATTTTTGGTCTAAACACATGGAATTTCTCCAAGATGCAGAAAGATTCAACTATATAAAACTTCTAATTCTTGGCATGATTTTACTGATTAATATAAATTTATGAGAAGCTGAAAATTTTTCTTAGCCAAACTCACAGACAAAAAGACAAATACTAGGGCCCCCAGAGACATAAATTGGGATCTCATGCACAGGTAGATTTGTTCTCTCCACTGTAGCTCTACACACCTGGCAATTAACTAGAGCCAAGATGACATTAGCTGAGATTTTCATTTTGGGGGTAAGAACTTAAATGCACCACTGTTTGGCTATCAACACAGGGGAGAGGCCAGTAAATGAAGAGTTTATTTCTGGCTCTTGCAGCTACAGTGCTAATGTATATTCTCAGTGGCATCCAAAGTATCTCACTGGCTCCATGTAATCAAGAAAGACAGCAATTAATATGCCCACTACATAAAACAAATGTGGGTCCGGGTATGTGCTTATGCCTGTAATCTCAGCACTTTGGGACGCTGAAGCTGGAAGATCACTTGAGGGACAAGTTCAAGATCAGCGTGGGAAACATAGCAAGACTCAATCACTAAAAAAAATTTAAATACTGCCAGGCATTGTGGCATATGCCTGTAGTCCCAGTTACTCAGGAGACTGAGGCACGAGGATTGCCCGAGCCCAGGAGTTCGAGGCTGCAGTGAGCTATGATTGGCCACTGCACTCCAGCCTGGGTGACAGAGTAAGACCCCATCTCTATAAAAACAAAACAAAAGACAAATATGCAGTCTTCATGTATTACTTCTAAGCATTAAAAAAAATGCTATAAATTAAATTGTACTTCCCAATTTACAGACAAATAAACTAAAGCTGAGAAAGACTAATCTGTGCCAGATCACAAGGCATGAAACAGCAGAGTCAAGACTAGAACCCATGCCAGCAGTAGTCTGTATAGCCATCAACAGTTATGCAGAGCTAGTGGAATATAGTAGTAAAAGTACATCCTTAGAGTTAAAAACGTAAGCTGTCCTTCATTCCTCTAAATGTCTAAATTCTGTTTTGATGTTGAATGTAAAATAATCCACATGCACGAAGATAATCTTAAAGTTTAAATCAACTATTAAACCAGCTCTGTTTAATAGATTCTCATCACACCATGGAATAAAAAAAGTCAACTCACCCTCCTTTAAGAAAAAAGAGAGAAAGAACACAAAATATATGCAGTGGGTAAGGAGAAAAAAAAAGACATACTTCAGCTATTCAGGACACTGGTGTGCTTTAAAATTATTTTTCACTTCCACATTCCAAATTCCCTAAACTCCAAACAGATCAAAGTTTTACAGATTATCCCTCAAAAAAAGACAAGAAACACAAATTAATAACTATTTAAGCATTCTGTTTCATCATAACAAACAGATGGTTTTAATATTCTAGAGGCTAATTCCTGAACAATTAAAAACACAGCAAGACATTAACATCTAATGAAACATTTTAACTACCAGTATATGCATCTGCCATTAATTCCCACACAGTAAGGTCTTGGATCTCCTCAATCTGTTCTTCATTAAGGAAAGTTTTCCACTCTGAATTTAGTGAAGTAGAGAATTAACAACTGTTTTCAATCAGCAATCAGCAGGATATTTCGCCAATGTGTACTGAAACTATGTACACATGTACACTATCAGACTTAAATTTATCCTTACAATGGCTTTGATGTACACACATTTACAATTTAAGAACAGACCCAATTTTCTAGTTAGGATTTTTCCCAAAAAAAAAAGAAAAAACAACTTATGCCACATTAGCCCCTTGATATATAATAGAAACCCTCATTGAGCTGCTGGTAAAAAAAAAAAAAAGGTGTATATATTGAATAACTGCTAATTTTTGACTCAAATTGCCCAAAATAGCCTGGACAGCAGCTTCTACCATTGTGCCAACATGGAAAGACAACTATCATAAGGACAGTAAAGGACAAGTGGGCACATCACATTCTCTGATCTAGTAGCTTAAAAACAGGATGATCAATTACCATTAAGCTGCTTTCATTTTTGTGATAATAATGTTGTACACATTTGTCTACTCTTACACTATTTTATTTTTATTTTCATTTATTTTTTTTTTTTGAGATGGAGTCTCACTCTGTTGCCCAGGCTGGAGTGCAATGGCATGATCTTGGCTCACTGCAACCTCCACCTCCCAGGTTCAAGCGATTCTCCTGCCTCAGCCTCCCAACTAGCTTGGCTTACAGGTGCACGCCACCATGCCCGGCTAATTTTTTTTTGTATCTTTAGTAGAGATAGGGGTTTCACCATGTTGGCCAGGCTGGTCTAGAACTCCTGACCTCGTGATCTACCCACCTCAGCCTCCCAAAGTTCTGGGATTACAGGCGTGAGCCACTGCACCCAGCCTACTGTTATACAATTTTCTAATAATTGTACATAAATGATTTAATCCTCACGTAAATATTTAAAGTGAGAAAAGTAAATTTTAATGTATCCCCTTTACAAAGAAACTAAAATATAGAGAGATGAACAACTCCACCAAGACACCCAGGGATTGGGTGGTAAGCTGAGCCTAGAACGTGGATCCCTGACTGAATATTCTATTTACTGCCCTTGAGGTAGTGCCTACTATTTGCTGTACTGAGCTACAGGTTCCTCTCAGAACCTGTGAGGCAGATATAATTATTACTAATTTAGAGTTAAGTAAGTGGAGGCTCAGGTTAACCTGGGATTAAACAGAAAGGAAGAGATGGGCCTAGAATTCACATTCAGGCCTTTTTATTCTGGAGTGTGCATTATTTCCAAAACATTATGCTACCCCTCCAGAGTAACATTGTATTAATAATTTATGGGCAATGGAGGCATGTTATAACACATTGCAGTGTGTTTGTTCCTTTGGATAGCTCTAATATTTTTCTGATTTACTGACCAAACATTTAGAGTAAGCAATTAGCAAACAGATATAAATAATTATTCTGGTATCTCTAAAGGAATAAATTTTAAGTAAATACCACACACCTTAATGATATTTTTACAACCATGTCTCTCAATTCTGGATGACTAATACATAATTTGATGTGGTTGAATCTTAATATATTAATTGCATTAATATAAGAATAAATTCTACAATACTCTCTCAAATTTCTTCAAACACTTCAAATAATTAAAGCAGTCTCTAACAGTTTTTTTTGGTCATATTAGACCAGACAAGCAATTGAGAATATAATTTCATTTACCTTAGCCATCTTAAAGAAATTTGGATTAAATTAATGATGGAAAAAAAACTATAATCAACTGAAGTTAGTTTTATTTCTTACTCAAAATCTACAGGTGCCATGAAATTGCTGTCTGACTTGTAACTATAATCTTATTAGTATAAGATTATTAGAAGGAAAAGAATAGAAAGGCATGTAGACTAGCCCATTTATTTAAAAAGCTCTGCTAAATTCCAGTGCTTATACCTACAATACATATACGTACGTGTGTGTGTGTGTGTGTGATCTAACCAAAGAAACTATAATGCCAAAACTATATGAAAATACCTGACAGCTGGTAGCTAATGGTAAAAGGAAATCACCAAAAAATAAAAAATAAATAAAAAGTAAACACTGCAGGCTGGGTGTGGTGGCTCACACCTGTAATCCCAGCTCTTTGGGAGGCTGAGGCAAGCAGATCACGAGGTCAGGAGATCAAGAATATCCTGGCTAACACGGTGAAACCCCGTCTCTACTAAAAATACAAAAAATTAGCTGGGCGTGGTGGCAGGCGCCTGTAGTCCCAGCTACTCGGGAGGCTGAGGCAGGAGAATGGTGTGAACCCGGGAGCCAGAGCTTGCGGTGAGCCGAGATCACGCCACTGCACTCCAGCCTGGGCGAAAGTGCGAGACTCTGTCTCAAAAAAAAAAAAAAAAAAAAAGTAAACACTGCAAAGTAAGGGGTATCTACTTCATACTTCTTTGCTATTGGACAATGAAAGCTTAATGAAGTCTTTAAACCAAAATGTTACGGTTGAACGAATACGTAAAGCTATTACAAAATATATAAAATAAATGTGGGATTTTTCTTAGCAACCAGGTGGACATATTTTACTTATGATATCTGTCCAGTACTTACAGCAATAATATGGAGAATATTTGATAAAAGAGTAAGAGACTATATTGTCACAGCAATGGCTGGCAGTGACATGGGGAAGAAATTCTAGTTGGGAGACAGAGGACATATTTTTAGTGGAATGATTTTTTTTTCCTATTAAAAACTCCCTGACACATTAAAAAGTCATTATAGACATACTCTCTACCTTTTTATTTTTATTTCTTTAATTTTTGTTTTTTGTTTTTTGAGATAGGTCTCACTCTGTCACCCAGGCTGGAGTGCAGTAGCACAACCTCAGCTCACTGCAACCTCTGCCTCCCAGGTTCAAGCAATTCTTGTGCCTCAGCCTCCCAAGTAGCTGGGATTACAAGCATGCACCACCATGCCCGGCTAATTTTTGTATTTTTAGTAAAGACGGTGTTTCACTGTTTTGTTCAGGCTGGTCTTTAACTCCTGATCTCAAGTGATCTGCCCACCTCAGCCTCCCAAAATGCTGGGATTACAGGCATGAACCACTCTTTTTAGAAGGAAGGAGGGGACCTGCCCCTTTTTTTCTTTTTTTTTTTGGCAGTTCTTATGAAAATTCATAAGCCAGATAGCATTCAATAAATGTAAAGAGCTGAAGAATTTGGTTTTATAGAAAAACATCAATTAGCATAAGAAAATTAGCAATTAAGCAATCATTATACAACATATATCAATATTACTAATGAGTGAACATCTACTCTAAAATTCTAGCTTGAACTCTTAAAACCAAATATATGCCAGGCGAAGTGGCTCACGCCTGTAATCCCAGCACTTTGGGAGGCCGAGGCTGGCAGATCACCTGGCGTCAGGAGTTCGAGACCAGCCTGGCCAACATGGTGAAACCCCGTCTCTACTAAAAATACAAAAATTAGCCAGGTGTGGTGGTGTGCGCCTATAGTCCCAGCTACTCGGGAGGCAGAGGCAGGAGAATCGCTTGAACCCAGGAGGCGGAGGTTGCAGTGAGCCGAGATCATGCCACTGCACTCCAGCCTGGGGGATAGAAGGAGACTCTGTCTCAAAAAAACAAAAACAAAAACAAATGTATATGAAGCATCACTACTTTACTGTGATTACCTATCCTTCATGACAGCTGTCCTTGGGTTCCACACCTCATATTCCTATTGTAATAAATTCTTTCCTGGGTCTCCTTAGCAATGGACCTTTGGCCCAATGTCATTTGCTACCTAAATTTAAATGTTTTTAAATCTATCTACTTTTTCAGTACATGAAATTCAACTTGATACTCTTGAACAAAAGAATGGTACAACCAATGAGAACGCATGGACACAGGGAGGGGAACATCACACACCAGGGCCTATTGTGGGGTGGGGGGCTGGGGGAGGGATAGCGTTAGGAGAAATACCTAATGTAAATGATGAGGTGATGGGTGCAACAAACCAACATGACACAGGTATACCTATGTAACAAACTTGCATGTTGTGCACATGTACTCTAGAACTTAAAGTATTTAAAAAAAAAAAAATGGTACAACCGTTATAGCTTTCTACTTCCACAGACTTTGTGGTCAGGTCTATGGGGATAATCCAATAAAAGGGGACATATTTAAGTTCCACTCTTAAAGTTGTATTCATAAAAAATGCAAGACCAGGCCCAGAAAAGTGTCCTAAAGCACAGAGATAATTTGTGCAAAGATGGTTATAAACCAGAATTTTTGCTGAGATTCTAAATGAAGATGACACACTCTAAATGCAAATGACATTAATATGGAAGCCAGTAAAGAGGTTCATGAAGTTGAATAAGAGATACAGCATTATTTCTGGAATACTGAAGACAGCGACCACAACAAGAGTTACTTACTGAAACAAATTTTAACGTTAAGGAATCTCTAAAAGCTGATACCTCCTAAAACTGGAATACAGTCTAAAAATACATATTTGTCATTTTTTTTTTACTGCTGTTCTCTACCCTTAATTTTGTGATGCTTTACTTGCCAACAATATGCTTTTCTAAACATAATTCCAAACAAACTACAAATCAGAGGTATGGATATATATGTAAAAACTGAAGAGTAAATACTGTAGAAGAACAAACACTTGTACCAATTATGTCTTTCTACTATTTCTGTTCTTAAAACTAATAAAATGTACCTTTCTTGTGCAGTGACTGGAAATACTACAAGAAAATGTTTGCAGAACTTGACTTTTCTGGAGGAATTTTTAAATGTAAACACACTTTAAAAATAACCATCATTTTAATTTAACATTAAATAGGGTAGGTAGTTGAGGCATAACGTGTCTTTTTCTGCCTTAAAAATGCCACAGAGCTCAATCAAAACTTCTGATCTGAGTGGAAGAATAAGCTATTTCCTATGTCCCAGAAACCTTACTGTCACTAGGGCAGGGAGAAAACTGCTCATTGTGAATTGTATTTAAGGGAGCCAAAAAAAAAAAAAATCCCCTGAGTCACAGGGCTTAAAGCCAAAAAAATGACCCCCACCAGCCAAAGTCACCATTCAGAAACCTATTATTACAGAAGAAATTCAACACGTAGAGAACAGCCCTAAGTTAAGGAAGATGCTAAGATCCAAGAATTTTAACCTACGCTGACATTTCATCCAAGGGAGAGTGCAAGAAAATCTGCCTTTACCTATAAACTTTGGCTTCCACAAAAAATATTGATTCTAACAGTTTTTGGAGTTAAATACACAAGAACATGTACCAGATTCCCTTTCTTCCTTCTCCTAGTTTTGTGGCTAGATATGGGAAAGGAAAAGAGAGAGAAAGAGGTTTTTTTCAAGAAATGTTGAGGTTAACAAAAACAGCCTAAGACCTGGCCTTTGTCCATGGACTAAATGACTAAAAGGAATCATGACGGGCAGGAATTTTCAAGGACCAACAATGTATGACAAAATAAACAGAAACACTTCTGGGGATAAGAAAAAACAGTATAAGGCCAGGCACAGTGGCTCACGCCTATAATCCCAGCACTTTGGGAGGTCGAGGTGGGCGGATCACCTGAGGTTGGGAGTTTGAGACCAGCCTGACCAACATGGAGAAACCCCATCTCTACTAAAAATAAAAAATTAGCTGGGCGTGATGGCGCACGCTTGTAATCCCAGCTACTCGGGAGGCTGAGGCAGGAGAATTGCTTGAACCCAAGAGGCGGAGGTTGCAGTGAGCCGAGATTGTGACATTGCACTCCAGCCTGGGCAACAAGAGCAAAACTCTGTCTCAAAAAAAAAAAAAGAAAAGAAAAAAGTTTAAAACTTCTGGATTTACAAGGTCAAGGAAAAATAAAAAGACATGGTCTACAACATCAACAATTGGAGAATTATAAAAGTAAAAAATCATCCCTTTCCTTGGCTTTTTATTTTTTCCCCCTTTGAGTGAGACTCCAGGCTGTCAACCACCGGTACCCCACAGCTAGCCATGGCAACAGCTGCATGGCTCTGCTGTAATAAACTGGAAAAATTTAATAGCTTTTATTGTTCTGCAGTGGTGTCTAAGCATATCCACTCTCCCCTCCTAGGACTCCCAGCCCCGCAAGGGCAGCAATGAGAGAAGATCTCATTTACCTAAAAGCACTTATAAATTTTTAATTTGCTTTAACAAGTAAATTAACAAGTCCCTCATTCAGGCAAGTTTTATGGCTTCTTGCCACTTGGGGAAGGCCGTAAAAGTTTTATAGATAATCCAGAGCTACTGAGACTGCTCATAATAAATTGTCTGTTTCCTGTTATTTTATCAAACCACTGGGCTTCTAATGACTTAAAGTCACAGTTCTCTTATATTCAGGCTTTTTATGAGGCCATATTTATAAACTCCAAAGAATACCTTAAATTATACTGGGCCCCTGCTAATCATTACGAAGATTTTTTTTTCTTTTAATGGGAGCTTACCTTTAGCTCACACCCAGCTAATAAATGCTGCAAATGTGTTTTGGAGACAGCATGCTGATTCTACGTATTATTTAAGATGCTGCCTTACCCAGAGTTTCCATTAGCAAATGCTTTCAAATATCTGCAACCTCATCTGTTCTGTACAGACTCACCAACAGTTCTTCCCATTTGAGTGCCATGCTTTCTAGACTGCCGCACTTTATCCTACAAGGGAGCAGCCTGATAATTGCATGAAGCATGCATGTCAAGAGGCTGAGCTTCCAGTATGTGGACTAGAGTGTGACCTTGGATTAACATTAAATTTAGCTCCTAGTTACCAGCAAGCCATTCAGACATGAATCACAATTAAAGACAAGTACCATTCAAATTATTCACCCATTTTTGACTACTGATTATCAGCTAGGAATGGGGTTGACAATGTATAGAATACAGAGAATAAGATATTATGCCATTTACTATTAAGAACTGTACAGATATACTCAGTGTTAGAAATAAGTGACAAAGTAGGGAGAATGAAATATGCTCTCCAAACAATCTCTGATAATGTGGAATTAGTGGAAGTGCTAAGTGGCCCAGTATGCTTTGTGATCACCTCTATATTTTATACATATGCATACACACATGCACATGCAGACATCAAGAGGGATGCATTTTTTTCAAATTAGTCTATCTAGGGAGAGAACCTTAAGAAAATGTCACCCACCAGTAAGAGCAGAATGATCTATATAGGGCCTTTAAACAAAATGATTCAAAAGGTGAAGAGATTACATCTCCGTTCATGCAAATACAACATGCACTGCAGGATGCACACTGAGTTCTTGATTCATTCATACTGATTTTTCCCCACAGAAAATACAACTTGCAGATTAGTAACACCCAGTGTAATCTCATATAAAGGTTCATCATTTAAATAATGACTGTTCTTATATCATATTCATGAGTATTTGAACCATAGCACCTTGTCCAAAGCTGAAATGCATGAACCTCTTGGCCAAGGTGTCATTGAAAATGCATTCGTACTAATTCTTTTCAATTTCAGCCCTTTAGGGAAGGCACAAATAACACCAGGTAGAAGAAGCAAAAAGAGAACGTAAGATAGCAAAGCTTGGTGTAAATGCTGCCCAATATCACTTTTCAAGGATCATGCATGCATGCTGACACTGGCTATCCCACTTCTAGAATAACTTAATTTCTACCTTAATTTTGGCATTATATTCTAATTCTCTTGGAACACTTGCTAGAGAAAAGATATGATGATTTCTATATCGTACTTGAACTCAGCATTATCCTCCTTCTGAATTTTCGGAGGTTTAAGACAACACAGTTGGCTTCAATAAATTTTATTCTCTCTGTAAATCTGATGTAATAATAATGAAAATTATACAAACTCAAATGAGTATAGTCCTTTACACAGTATTTTCTTTTTCTTTTTTTTTCTTTTTTTTTTTTTTTTTAAGATGGAGTTTCACTCTTGTTGCCCAGGCTGGAGTGCAATGGCGCGATCTCGGCTCACCACAAACTCCACTTCCCAGGTTCAAGCGATTCTCCTACCTCAGCCTCCCTAGTTAGCTGGGATTACAGGCGCCCGCCACCATGCCCAGCTAATTTTTTGTATTTTTAGTAGAGATGGGGTTTCACTATGTTGGCGAGGCTGGTCTCCAACTCCTGACCTTAGGCGCTCCACCCACCTCAGCCTCCCAAAGTGCTGGGATTACAGACGTGAGCCACTGCGACCGGCTTTTTCAACAATTTTTTTATTCATGCATAATTGATATGCATAGTTTCAGGGTACATGTGATGATCTAATACATTCATATTATTTGTAAAAATTAAATCAGTGTACTTGAAATATCCATCCCTTTAATGAAGTGTTTTCAAATACACAATTCCATTCACTCTTTACAACCCCGTGTGAACTAGTACAACTATTCCCATTTTGCTGATGTGAAACTTTGTCTCAGAGAGGTTGACAAATCCCATTTCCCACAGCTGGAGAGAAGGGTAGGTCTTGAACTCAGAGTTGAGGAGATACCAGTGAAGAGGAAGTTATAACAATATCCTTAGTAGATACAATAGGGTTTATATACAAGTATATAACAGAATGCTCTTCTTGAATGCTACCTTGCTGTTCTTAAAACTGTGTACTAAATTAATACATAGAGGTGAAGTATAGTTCCTGTATGGATCAAACCCTTTCTTCAATACCATAACTAAACATGGCCAGTTTATTCCTCGTAAATGGCAAACCACTGATTTTAACAGAAATTAGGCAAGACGCTTTTCTTTAGACTCTATCACAGAGTCTACAGCATCTAGAAGCCCTCAACAAATTTTTATTGAATACAAAGGCAATATAAAAATTTTAAGTGTATAACTGTATTATTATTTGTTCTTGTCTGTCTCTCCAATAACCTATAAACTAAAGTAGAGCAGAGACTATGTATCTTTTTATTTTTTTACTGCTATAACCTCAGCACCTAGCATAATACCTGGCATACAGTAGGTACTCAATAAATATGTTAAGTGAATGTACATATTCATGAATAACAGAAGTGCCTTAATGCCCATTCATTACCACTCCTGAAAATGTCTCCAAAATAACAAGAGTTAGCCTCTCCTAATGGGTCAGAAGCATGATTCTGAATGTGAAGAAAAGGACCATCAGGCAGGCTCCAAGTAGTACACGTAGTTGTAAGACTTCTATGCGTGTATGAGAATGCACGTATTTCCAAACCTTAACCATGCAAATACTGCACACGCACACGTGAGCGCACGCACGCACACACACACACACACTCTTAATATGTGATCCAATCCTCTCAAGTTTATTAGTGATTGCTTTTCATTAATTGAAATCATTAAAAAATATCTGCTTGTCTGGAGCAGGCAGCTTGCCAAATGATGTTTCCACGTAAGTAAATGAGATCCTTCCTTGGCTGCACCTAAGTCCTCTAGAATTCAGGAGTTTTTCAGTTCACGTTTCAGGTTAATCTTTTCCTTTCTTTAAGAACAGAATATCCTCTTTGCAGATCTCCCTGCGGGCTTGGTATTTGCAACATCAAACAGAACACACAAACCATTGCACCCACTTCCAAAAGCCTATTATACTGTCAACTGGCTTCCTAACTGCAACCAGGGGAGAAGGCTTACAGACTCCTAAGCTTCTCCCACACCCCTGGAAAGTATCCATAATTTCTCTAAGCTACCACTGCATTTTGTTTCACTAAAGAACTCCTAATAAGACAGGCAACATTCCACGGAGAAAAAAAAGCAACTTGAACTCACGAACTATAAATCTCATCTCCCTTTTATTTCTTATTACCTCTCAGACTTTCAATTGTTGGCAGGGTCTGAGGATGGGGTACTGCCATGCAACCCTACCAATGAGCCATTTCCATACTGCTTTATGGATCATAATAAAATTCAGATGCACAAAAAAACAAATCCAGGGCAGGGCAAGAGCTGTAGCAGTATCTTATGATATTGCATGATTTATGTTTTACTACTCGCATTGGGATGCCTAAGAAGGGCTAGAGTGAAAAGGGAGAAGAAAACAGACACAGACCGGTTTTTAACTTTCAAATCAAACAAGTATGTTCTGTATGTTTCCTTTGCTTCTTTAGAATCAATCCAAAGCCATACAAGCCCAAGGGGAAACTGTGGCTGTCAGCCTGTAGCAGCAGGAACTTACTTCCTTAATTGTTAACAGAGTTCATGAATACCTGTCCCAGGACACTACTAATGGGTTCCATGTAGGCAAAGGTTTCTAAAGCATACAGCAAAATGCAACAAGCATGCAGGGCGCATACACAAATATATATAAATACATACATAATTCCCCCTAGATTAAACATAAAACCATTTATATTCTCTAGATGTCCACATTTTCCTTTTTGCTTCCTGCAAATTTTCGTAGTTGGTTATTATAGGGAAAATGGGAAAGTCCTCAAAGGACTATTCATTGAAGAGATGGAAATGATGGAGTGACAATGAAAGAAAAGGGCACAAAGAGAGTCAATACATGCTTTCCTAACAGATGAGCATCTGTGCATCTAAAGTGAGTCAAATCACAAAGAGATTCTCCAATTTGCTTTATCTGGCCCCTAAGTACCTCTTCCAGGAAGGCTTAGCTGGCCTGACATAGCTGTGAAGGGTTCAATACACACAAGGAGTAGTTATAACTTGAAAACACTAAATAAATTCTGGGTAAATTCTTCAAAGGTTATTGGGTTTAGATCCTTCACACAAGTTCTACATTCACACAGTGACATACTCTATAAACAGCTTACATGTTCCATGACACCTCTGTGTTAGCAAGGGTCATTTCTTTTTGATACAGAATCTCCTGGCCTTAAGCCCAGGCAGCCTAGCAGCTGAAAAGGGGTGACTCACTCAGTGTGAAATGCATTAGACACAGCTCACCTGTACATGTCCTTCGTGTCTCCTCATAATCTCCTTTCTCTCCACTTCTAAGTTAATCTTTCAACTTATAAATTGATAAGAAATGTATCCACTGTGGATAATTTCTTCCCTCTAGAGATGGCTTTTCTCTCATGCAAAGCCTGTCCATAAAAGTGAAGGAAGTCAGACAAGTGAATCATCCATCTTGTTTTTTAAAAATCCAACTGAAAATGTTGCCTAGGCCCATGGGTATTACTGAGCCAGGCAGAGATTACCACCCATAATTTTTTACTTTTGATTTTTATTTAACAACTCATTTGTATAACCACGATGAATGGAGGCAGCAGACCTGAAGAGATTTGCAGCTGAAGTCCTATCAAGTTGGAAGGTTATGTCAGCTGCCGAGTCTGGAAATGGAGCCCTGCACAGCAAGAAAACGATGAGAGATTGGTTACAGCCATAAGTAATTGATCTGTCTGAAAATACGGGCTACGAATCATGGGATTAATGCTGGTACTCCAGCTGGGCTGCATTGCTCATTTCCCTCTAGCTCTCTGACAACAAAGACATGCCTGTTTCTCCAGGGACAAGAAATTTTTATTAAAATCTTTATACAACGTAGCAGCAAAGACTCTGTAAAAGCATCCTAGAGATTTGGGGAGGAGGGGAGGTGCAGGCATCATAAGGACACCATCCTACAATTTTCGTTTGATCTGGTTTTCATTTCAAAGCAGTCACCAGCCTGCTTCCCATGGCCAAATGTACTTGCCCCTCAGCTCTGCCGACATGGAGAGGGGGCCCCGCGAGTGGTGCTCCTAGCTGAGATGTGGATGAATAAAGCGGTGGAGAGCTGCAGGCAGAAATAAAGTGGGAAGGCATCCAAAACCGCAGCTGTGCTGGCCCATTAAAAAGCTGAGACTCATTCTGCTGTTCGACCTCATGCTTATCACCACATAACTATTCATCAAAGAAATTTCAGTGCAATTAATTAAATTATTCCCATGTCTGTGCCACAGAGTCGTTATTCCAATATCAGCTTTCACTCACACTCTCTTAAGCTCATGTCTGCATGCCAAGTCACTACTCTGGGGTTGTCCAGTCTCAATAAAGCTGTGCTCCTCACCACTCACACAGGCTATCATTTCTCTTTTTTATTGCCATTTATTTTCCACTAGGATTTTGCTGCCAGTGTATTGGCAGGACTTCCAGTATATGGATGTAATGAAATCTACCACAGACACTTAACACGGGGTCAGGATAGAGCTCAGCTCATGTGAAGCAGTAATATAATAAACAAATGCTTTCAGAAGGAGGATTTTATCAGCTCAAAAACAGGACTTGGTATCCTCTGATACCAAGTGCAGAAAAAGTTGGAGTCATTTGAAAATTCCTGCGATAATTAAGTTTACGGCTAAAATATGCCTAACATGAGAAATCTGAGCTACAGCACAGATTCCTTTTCATCTGTCAAAGCTGGTTTATTAAAAAGGAAGGAATAAAAATGTACTGGTGAGATTATGTTTTTTAAATATAATCTTAGGAGTATTAAAATACTCCTAAGTATTAAAAATAATACTTAGGAGTCACAGACCTGTAACTGGCACACTAATATAATTTGGGGGATATGACGATTGCCTGTCAAACTTTGCTATAGCTACAAGAAAATGTAAATGAGATTAAGAGTATAATCCCCCCTACTTGATAGCTAGCAGGCAAATATTTAAGGCTCTTCTCTTTCCCTTGTATGTCACCACAGCAAATTACAGGATTGGAACAAAGTGAACACCTATCATCTTAGCACTAAATTTTATATTCCTACATGTTGGGTATAAATCCAACATTGGAAAGATGTAGACAGAACTTCAGGAATCTCCGTACTAACTCAGAAATGAAAAGTACGTGCTCAGATGATTACCACAGGACCCAGAAGGGCCACCATTTCAGGCTTATGAAGCACTTATCCTTCATCTGCCAAGAATCTCAGGAGGTAGGAAAGCCAAAAAGAAGAACAGTGACTGTAACAGCAGAGTGGTTTAGTACCTGGCTTCCTTGAAAACCTCAGCAATCCCAGAGTTTACAAGAGAAAACAGACAATGTTCTTTTCCAAGTGTCGAGACTTGATTCTGTCACTATAAACATCAGATTCCTGGTAGTAACTTTTATATGACCTATTAAAAAAAATTTATAGGACCTGGAGTGTATTTTGTAAATGGGTCCATTAGGTAAAGAAATTACTAGCTGAGGAGAATCAGAATAGTCCTATGAGGATAAAACATTTTCTAAATTTGATGAAAGCTATAAAACCACAAATCTAAAGGCTCAAAGAACCCTAAGCACAAGAAACATAAAGAAAAGTACACCAATGCAGATCATAAAAAAATTGCTCAATACTAGTGATAAAAGAAATTCTTAAGAGCATCCAGGGGAAAAATGACAGGTTATATACAGAGGTTAAAGATTAGAATGATACCTAATTTTCTTACTTAAAAAATGCAATTGCAAAGACTGTGAAACATTTTTACAGTACTGGGAGAAGGGAAAAGAAAGTATCAACCGCTAGTTCTATGCACAACTAACATGTCTTTTAAAAATTAAAGTAAAATGAAGATGTTTTCAGATATACAAAAGCTGAAAGAATTAATCACCAGTAGGCCTGTACTTCAAGAAACGTTAGGCCAGGTGTGGCAGTTCATGCCTGTAATCCCCAGCACTTTGGGAGGCAGAGGTGGGCAGATTACTTGAGGTCAGGAGTTCCAGACCAGCCTGGCCAACATGGTGAAACCCCATCTCTACTAAAAATACAAAAATTAGCCGGGCATGGTGGTGCACATCTGTAGTCCCAGCTGCTCAGGAGGCTGAGGCAGAAGAATTGCTTGAACCCAAGAGGCGAAGGCGGCAGTGAGCTGAGATCATGCCACTACACTCCAGTCTGGGTGACCGAGACTCCGCCTCAAAAAAAAAAAAAAAGACAGAAATCTTAAAGGATAACCTTTAGGAAGAGGGCAAATGGTATTACATAGAAATGCATCTATGTAAAGAAGAATGAAGAGCACCAGAAATTGTAGCACAGCTAGCAGCCTGGCCAATATGGTGAAATCCCATCTCTACTAAAAATACAAAATTTAGCTGGGCATGGTGGTGCGCACCTGTAGTCCCAGCCAGTCGGGAGGCTGAAGCAGAAGTATCGCTTGAACCCAGGAGGTGAAGATTGCAGTGAGCTGAGATTGTGCCACTGCACTCCAGCCTGGGTGACAGAGCAAGACTTCGTCTCAAGAAAAAAAAAAAATTTATATTATGTAAGTTTCTTCAAAGAACAATTAACTAATTAAATATCAATAACAATATAGTATAGACTTTAGAACATATATAAAAGTAGAATTGTGTGACAACAAGAGAGTTGAAACAAAAGTATACACTTGTAAGATTCTTATGGTATACATGAATGGGTAGTATATCACTTGAAGGTATAAGTTGAAGATATGGTATAACCCCAAAACCAACAATTAAAACCAAAAAACAAAGACCTACAGCTAATAAGCCAAGAAAGGAGATAAAATGGAATCATTAAAAATAATTGATTTCTATTTTATTTTATTATTATTTTTAAATTTATTTATTTATTTATTTATTTATTTATTTATTTGTTTTGAAACAGTCTCTCTGTCTTTCCCAGCTTGGAGTGCAATGGCACGATCCTGGCTCACTGCAACCTCCACCTCCTGGGCTCAAGCAATTCACCTGCCTCAGCCTCCCAAGCAGCTGGGACTACAGGCGCCTACCACCACATCCAGCTAATTTTTGTATTTTTAGTAGACGGGGTTTCGCCATGTTGGACAGGGTGGCCTTGAACTCCTGACCTCAAGTGATCCACCTGCCTCGGCCTCCCAAAGTGCTGGGATTACAGGCGTGAGACACTGCTCCCGGCCTTTAAAAATACTCAACTGATTTTTAAAAGGCACAAAATGTGGAAAAGTAAGTAAAGAATACAGAGGAACATAGGAAAAAATAAGATAAAATATATAAACATAACCATATCAAGAAAGTATATAAACAGTCTAAATATCCACAATTAAAAAGGCAAAAGATTGTCAGACACAATAAAAAGAATTATAAAGACCTAAATACCCCAAAACAAGTTCTCTTAAAAAAAATGGACTCTAAATATAAGGACACAAATAGGTTAAATGCAAAGGAATGAAAAAAGACACTATCAAAAGTGAGCTGCAATAGCTATATCAATAGCAGACAAAATATATTTCAGAACAAAGAATATTTTATAATAATAAAGTAGTCAATTCATGAAAAGAATACAACAATCTTAAATGTCCTAATAAAAAAGCTTCAAAATAAGTGAAGCAAAAACTGATAGAACTCAAAGGAGAAATAAAAAAAATCTATAACTATAGTTGGAGATTTCAATGCTCCATTGTTAATAATTGATAGAACAAATATTAGCTGGAGACTTCAATGCCCCTTTCTTAATAATTGAAAGAACAAATAAATAGACAATCGAGAAGGATATAAGACTTAAAAAATACTATTATGCATAATTGACATTTATAGAACATTCAGCCCAACGACAGCAGAATATACATTGTTTTCAAGCACACATGGAATATTTACAAAGACAGACCATAGTCTGAGTCACAAAGCAAGTCTCAGTAAACTTAAAGAAAAATTAGAAAGTATTTTGATATGGATAAAAATGAGAACACAGCATATCAAAATGTGTGGGATGAACCTAAAATAGTATAATACTTGAAGGAGAAATAGCATTAAACTGTATTAGAAAGCAAGATGGGTCTCGGACAGGCGCGGTGGCTCACACCTGGCCAACATTGTGAAACCCCGTCTCTACTAAAAATACAAAAAATTAGCTGGGCATGGTGGTAAGCGCCTGTAATCTCAGCTACTTGGGAGGCTGAGGCAGGAGAATCGCTTGAACCTGGGAGGCGGAGGTTGCAGTCAGCCGAGATCGCGCCATTGCACGCCAGCCTGGGGGACAAGAGCAAGACTTTGTCTTTAAAACAAAACAAAACAAAACAAACAAACAAACAAACAAACAAGGTGGGTCTCAGATCAATGCCTTCAGCTTCCATCATAAGAAACTAAAAAAAAAAAAAAAGAGAGCAAAAGTAAGTAGAATACAGGAAATAACAACGATAAGAGTAGAAACCAAATAAAATAGAAAACTGAAAGGCAATAAAGAATATGAATGAAACCTGTGGCCAGGCACGGTGGCTCATGCCTGTAATCCCAGCACTTTGGGAGGCTGAGGCGGGAAGATCACGAGGTCAGGAAATCGAGACGATCCTGGCTAACATGGTGAAACCCCATCTCTACTAAAAATACAAAAACAAATTTAGCCAGGCGTGGTGGTGGGTGCCTGGAGTCCCAGCTACTTGGGAGGCTGAGGCAGGAGAATGGTGTGAACCCAGGAGGTGGAACTTGCAGTGATCTGAGATCACGCCACTGCACTCCAGCCTGGGCGACAGAGCAAGACTCCATCTCAAAAACAAACAAACAAAAATATGAATGAAACCAAAAGTTAGTTCTTTGAGAAGACCGATAAAACTTACAGACCTCTAGCCACACTGACCTGGAAAAAAAAAAAAAAGACATGAATTGTCACTATCAAGAATAAGAAAGGTTACAACAGCACAGATTTTCAAAATATTAAAGAAATAATAAATCTCAGAAAAGATACAAACTACCAAATGTTACTTAAGAAAAAATAGAAAACCTGAAAAGCCCTTTGTCAATTAAACAAATTGAATTTGGAGTTTAAAATTTCCTATAAAGAAAACTCCAGGCCCAAGGGCTTCGCTGATAAATCCTACCAAACATTTAAGGAAACAATAATATAAATTCTATACAAACTGCTTCAGAAAATTGGAGAGAAGGGAATACTTCCCAATATATTCTATAATGTCAGAATTATCCTGATATAGAAACCAAAGACAATGAAAGAAAATGACAGAATAGGCTGTGCGCAGGGACTCACACCTGTAAGCCCAGCACTTTGGGAGGCCGAGGTGGGTAGATCACAAGATCAGGAGATCGAGAGCATCCTGGCTAACATGGTAAAACCCCATCTCTACTAAAAACACAAAAAATTAGCCAGGCGTGGTGGTGGGCACCTGTAATCCCAGCTACTCAGGAGGCTAAGGCAGGAGAATTGTTTGAACCTGGGAGGTGGAGGTTGCAGTGAGCCGAGATCACGCCATTGCACTCCAGACTGGGCTACAAGAGTGAGACTCTGTCTCAAAAAAAAAAAAAAGAAAAAGAAAATGACAGGCTAATTAAGTTCAACTATATATATACGAATAATTTTTAATATACTTTTATAAAAATATATCATGTTTTTATAAAAAAAATTTGAAAATCAGTTAAATTTGCCATATTAAACTAAAAAATAAAAAAATGAGTATTTCAATGGATTAATAAATAGCATTTGATACAAAACCAACATCCATTCCTGATTAAAACTTTCAGCAAATGTGAAATAGAAAGGGACTTCTTTAAACTGATAAAGGTATGTGCAGAAAACCTACAGCTAACATCATAAATAATGGAAGATCACCAAATGCTTCCCCATAATATGAGTTAAAATGAAAACGCATGTACACTCTCACCACTTCCATTCAACATTATACTAGAGATTGCAGCCAGTGCAATAATATAAGAAAAGAAATGAAAGCATCCAGATTAAAAAAAAAAAAGGAAAATTATATTTACTCTTCTTTGACATTATCAACTATATATACAATACAAATAAATTTTAAAAAGAGCCATTAACACTAATAAGTGAGTTTACCAATATTACAGAATATATGATAAATATACAAAAGTTAACTGTACATTTACATTGCAGCAAGGAATAATTAGAAATTAAAATTTATAAAACAATGCCATTTACAACAGCTTCAAAAATACATAATGATAAATCTGACAAAGGTTGTGAAATATTTGTAACCTGAAAACTACAAAACTTTTTTTTTTTTTTTTTTTTGAGATGGAGTCTCACTCAGCTGCCCAGGCTGGAGTCCAGTGGCGCGATCTCAGCTCACTGCAACCATCGTTTCCCAGGTTCAAGCAATTCTCCCGTCTCAGCCTCCCAAGTAGCTGGGATTACAGGCACCCGCCATTATAGCCAGCTAATTTTTGTATTTTAGTAGAGGCTGGGTTTCAGCATGTTGGCCAGGCTGGTCTTGAACTCCTGACCTCAGGTGATCCACCTGCCTCAGCCTCCCAAAGTGCTAGGATTACAGGCGTGAGCCATTGTGCCCGGCCACTGCAGAACTTTTCTGAGAGAAGTTAAAGAAAATCTAAAGAAATAAAGAAACACACCTTGTTTATGAGTTAAAAGACTCAATACTGCTAAGATATCAATTTTTTGAAATTGGTCTATAGATTCAATACAATATGAATAAAAATCCCAGCAGGTCTTTTTGAAGAAATTTACATTTACAAAGTGATTCTAAAATTCATACACAAATGCAAAGGGCCAAGAATAGCCAAAACAACTTTGAAAAGGAAAAAGTAAGTTGGAAGACTAACATTACCTGATTTTAATAGATTATAAAACTACAATAATCAAGACGTGGTATTGGTGTCAAGATAGGTCAAGTTTAGAAATTTTCTTTTTCTGAGAAGATTCAGACAGTAAATATTTTAGGCTTTGCAGTACACATGTTTTCTGTCACATTTCCTTTAATTTTTTTTTTTATACAACCCTTAAGAAATAGAAAAAAGCATTCTTATCTAACAGATGATACAAAGACAGGCTGTGAGCTTTTCTTGGCCCATGGGCCTTGGGTTGGCAACCTCAAGACAGACAAATTGATTAGTAAAAAGGAAGAAAATTAGGCCTACATGTAAATAAACAACTGATTTTTGACAAGGATGCAAAGGTAATTCACTGAAGAAAGGACAGTCATTTTAAGAAATGATGCTGGAACAACTGTATAGAAGTATGTAAAAATAGGCTAGGCATGTTGGCTCATGCCTGTAATCCCAGCTCTTTGGGAGGGCGAGGCAGGTGGATCACCTGAGGTCAGGAGTTCAAGATCAGCCTGGCCAACATGGTGAAACCCTGTCTCTACTAAAAAATACAAAAATTAGCTGGGTGTGGTGGCGGGCACCTGTAATTCCAGCTACTCAGGAGGCTGAGGCAGGGATAATTGCTTGAACACAGAGGCGGAGGTTGCAGTGAGCCAAGATCGTGCCACTGCACTCCAGCCTGCGCAACAGAGCGAGACTCCATCTCAAAAAAAAAAAAAAGTATGCAAAAATAAATGAATTCACTATATGTCTCATTTCATATACAAAAATTAACTCAAAATGGATCACAGACATAAATGTAAAAGTTAAAACTGTAACCCTTCCAGAGCAAGGCATAAGGGAAAACCCTGTATCCTTGGTATGTAAATAATTTCTTAGATATGACACCAAAAGGATGACCCATAAAAAGAAGTTGATAGATTATATTCACCACAATTTGAAACCTTTGCTTTGGGAGACTGAGGCAGGAGGATTGATTGAGCTCAGAAGTTCGAGAACAGCCACGGCAACACGGTGAAACCCTATCTCTACAAAAAAGTTTTTAAAAAATTAGCTGGGTAGGGTAGTTCGTGCCTGTAATCCTAGGTAGTCAGGAGGCCAAGGTGGGATGATGGCTGAAGCCCAGGAGTTCAAGGTTACGGTGAGCTATAACCATGCCACTGCACTCCAGCCTGGGTGACAGAGCAAGATCCTATCTCTAAAAATTAAATAAAAATTAAAAAACAACCTTGAAACCTCTTATCTTGTAAGACGCTGTTAAGAGAATAAAAAGACAAACAACACACTGGAAGCAAATATTTGTATACCATATATCCGATAAAGGTCTTGTATACAGAATAAAGAACTCGACACTCAAGAAAAAAATGTAATTTTTAAAAATTGGCAAAAGATATAAACAGAATTCACCAAAAAAGATATACAGATGAAAAATCACACATGAAAAGGTGCTCAACATGATTATTCATTAGGGAAATGCAATTCAAGACCACAATGAGATAGCACTATATACCTATTAGGATGGCAAAATGGAAAAGACTGCCCATAACAAGTATTGGCAAGGATATGGAAACAATGGGACTCTTACACACTGCTGGTGAGCATATAAAATGGTACAACCACTTTGATTATTGTTTGGCAGTTTCTTAGAACATTTAGCATATACCTAGTACATTATCCAGCCATTCCACTCTTATTTGTCCAAGAGAATGTACATTGTACTCTTACATAAATGTTCATAGCTGCATTATACATAATAACAAAAACTGAAAACAGTCCAATGTATAAACACACACTATGGTATATCCATAAATTGAGTAATATTGTGAAACATTATATACAGCACAATGTGGATAAGCATAATATGAGTGAAAGAAGCCAGAACCCCCCCTCCTCCAAAAAAAAGGACAAACAGTATGTGCTATGTAATGCCATTTATATGCAATTCTAGAAAAATGTATACAACTTTATAGTGACAAAAAACAGTTAATTTGTTTTTGTTTTTTGTTTTTTTTGTTTGTTTGTTTTGTTTTTTTGCCAGGGAATAAGCTGGGGTGGAGATGGAAGGGAGGTGGGGGAGAAAGGAATTACAAAGAGAAAGGAGGAAACTTTTGGGGGTGATGGATATATTCATTTTTTTTTCTTTGAGATGGAATCTCGCTCTATCACCCAAGCTAAAATACAGTGTCATGATCAAGGCTTACTGCAGTCTTGACCTCTTGGGCTCAAGCAATCCTCCCACCTCAGCCTCCTGAGTAGCTGGGACTACAGATACGAACCAACATACCCAGCTAATTTTTAATTTTTTTGTAGTGAGAGAGTTTTCCAGTGTTGCCCAGGCTCATCTTGAACTTCTGGGCTCAAGTGATTCTGCTTCCTCAGCCTTCCAAAATGCTGGGATTACAGGTGTAAGCCATCACACCTAGCCTGTTCATTACCTTGATTGTGTTGGTTCTATAGGTGTATGCATGTCAAAACTTATCAAGTTGTATAGTTTAAATATGATCAGTTCATTATATGCCAATTATATCTCAATAAAGTTGTTACAAACAAAAGGAAAATACAATCGTCCTAAGATTATACCAAATCACTGTATACAAAGAAGTTTATTTTAGTGTGTGTGTGCATACAACTAAATGTATATGCTATATGGGTGCAATTTTTTAAAGACAAATTTGAAAGTTTTAGAAATTAGTACTAATCTTCTGGCTAAAGTAGATAGAGGCAACTTGTCCTCGCTGCCTTATCCCTGCAAAATACACACTATTTGCCGCCTCCACCATGATCATGGAAGCTCCTATTGATGGTTTTCTAACAGGAGAAGGTGCCTACACAGCACGGAAGCAGTGAGAGGAAACTCGTGGGTTCCCTCAGGACTTCCTCTGTGTATGGGCAGATGACAACCTGGAAGTCTTAGCCATATAAAATCATCCACAAAGTATCAAGAAAAACAATCATCAGGGAAAGAGAGGGCCCTGAGCACAATCATGAGGGGAGGAATCATTATTAAAATAATCATCATTGATTTCACTAACCAGAAGTAAGCGAGTTTATGAAATTTGAAGAAGGAAGGTCAACAGGGTCAGAAAATTGAAAGCTCCACATTGTAAAAGAATATTCCTGCTTTGTTTACTAATGAATCCCTAGCACCAAGTCACACAGTAGGTACTGAATAAAATGACTGTTGACTGGATAGATGGGAAATAAGAAAAATCACTTAATTTTATGACTTAGAAATTTACTGGTGACCTTATATACAAAATGCTTTAGTAGAGAAGACCAAGTCAGTACAAAACAGTTAACGGCTGAATAGGAGGCAAGAAGGTACTCTGTTGACAAAAAGAAATTTACTGGTGACCTTACATAGAAAATGCTTTACTAGAGAAGACCAAGTCAGTCTGCAGCTAGTTAAGGGCTACATAAAAGGCGAGGAGATATTCTGTTAACAGAAAGTTCAAGAAATACAAGACTAAAAGGCCAGGTTTCTCATTCAAAGTTTCCAACTAGGATTAAAGTCTTCAGACCAACCATATACTGTTCTTGAACTTCAGACACG